>NC_000003.12:164463149-164614664 GCF_000001405.40 Homo sapiens
TAAGTTGATATTTATAAACTGTTTTTTACTTTTCTGCCAATATTTTAGACATAGGAGTTTAAATTTTAAAAAGATATTAAAACATTATAAAATATTCCAGTTTTGCCAATACCTTGAAATTGATTAATCACATTATGAATGGTTTTGACATATAAACAAAGAAATTTTTTTAATGAACTCTTTTCTCCCTCCTCCAAAAATTTTAAAAATGCCAGATTGTTATAGAAACATGGTGTCTGATTCTCCTATAAGCACAAATGCTCTTTCACACTTGGGTGCTTGTTCAAGTCTAGAAACTTTGGCTCAACCTGCAGGCACAGGCTGTGGGAAGAAAAGGCTTAGAAGCCTGTGGTAGAAGTCAGCAAACTTAGGGTGACTGGAGAAGAATTGCCTACTCAGTTCCTTAATTGGTGGCCAATGAATGACAGTAACTTACTATAGTTATTCAGTTATACCAACATTGACAGGACTTTCCCACAGTTATCAAGCAAATAAAACACAATATTTTATGGGATTTTTGGTTTAGAATTATCAAATTTGATTAATTTTATAGATTTTTTTCTCATCTTATTTTATCTTAAATTGAAATGTAAAGAAATCACAATATAATTTTTATCTATCAAATAATAATCTTGAGATATTTATTTGGGTCTAATAAATTTAATGTACTGTTTATTTTTTTATTTGAATAGTTGCCCAATTTGAGCAATTATACTCTGTAAAGAAAAGATGAAATCTTAGGAACAAAATATGTTGTCTTGTATCTTTCAGCATTTTATTTAAATAAAATTCCATTTACTTGGCAATCATACAAAGCTAAGCTATTTCAATTCACTTTCCCTCTGTTTATCACTTTATCCCTTTCCTCTTTTTTGTTTCTTCATTTCTTCCTTCTTTCATCTATTTTTAGTTGTTTTATTCACAATTTCAGATCATTTTACAAATAATCTTTAGATGCCAATATTGAAAGCAAATTCACAGTCTAGACATATTAGAGATTTACCTAGTAGAATTGTATTTGTTTCCACTAAACGGAATTAATGTACAGCAGTATTCAGTCTTGTGCATTGGAAGAGAAACGTATTCAGGAATTAATATTTAAATAGAATATCTGAATTGTGGCAGATTTTGGTGTTATTTTTATATTTTAGTGTTGTGGTAAACATGTATTATTTTCTTTACTTTAAAATTCTGGTTTTCTAAAAGTTGGAATAATGGTATAGAAAAATTTACCATTTGAAGTGTAATGTCTATTTTCAATGATATAGTTTCTAAGAAACAGTGAAATCTTCAGATTAAAAATTTTGATCCAGGTGCTACGGCTCACGCCTGTAATCCCAGCACTTTGGGAGGCTGAGGCGGGTGGGTCACCTGAGGTCAGGAGTTCGAGACCAGCCTGGCCAACATGATGAAACCACATCTCTACTAAAAATACAAAAATTAGCTGGGTGTGGTGGTGGGTGCCTGTAATCTCAGCTACTCCGGAAGCTGATGCAGGAGAATTTCTTGAACCCAGGAGGCAAAGGTTGCAGTGAGCTGAGATCGCACCACTGCACTCCAGCATGGGGAACAAGAGTGAAACTCTGTTTTAAAAAGTTTGATGTATATATTTCTTATATTGTTTTATAAGTAAACTAAACCAACATAAGCATATTTAGGCAAAATGGTTTTAAAATCATGTGCGTAGATATGTTAATGCTATGAAAATTGATCCCTTGATTTATAAAAGCTTTCTGAAACTAAATGATATTGAATTAAATTTATATTTAAGCAATATATTATAATATTTCATAATATTACATTTATTATGCAGTCATATTATAATTCAAGTGGGCATAGGGCAATTAAATCGAGATTTGTACAATAGATTTGAGAAAGCAATAGAGCTTGAACAGGGTAGTAATTTTACTATTTGGACTCCATATTTTTCAGCTATCCCAACATACACATGTACCTATCAACTGAAAAATGTAGCTGGACAAAACTGTAATATTCTAAGGTTCTACAGCTCTGGCTGTAATACTAGTTATCATTCTCTTTGTTATTGACAACAAATATAGTCTCTGTCTCAGTTAAAGATTCCTTTCATTGCTGTCTGAATTTGTTGTTTATAATTTGTCTCTTTGGCTTAACTGGAGAGATTATTTCTCTCTCAAGGCCCATGCTATTTCTTACTACTTGTTTATGACATATCGCACTGGAATCAGATCCTCATCGTATTGCTCAAGTGAGTCAGCAGATTGGCTTGTTTGGATGATTATGGAAGTGGGTGAAATATGGGATGGTATTTAATCTGGTAAAAATGGAGTTAAGAGTGGTGTAAAAGGAAACTAAATCTTGGGGCCACAAAATCCCTAAGCTAAAGGGAGAAGTCAAGCTGGGAACTGCTTAGGGCAAATCTGTCTCCCATTCTATTCAAAGTCACCCCTCTGCTCACTGAGATAAATGTGTATCTGATTGCCTCATTTGGAGAGCCTAATCAGAAATGCAAAAGAATGCAGTGATTTTCATTTTATCCACTTATGACCTGGAAGCCCTCTCCCCACTTCAAGTTGTCTGACCTTTGCCTTGAGTTGTCCCACCTTTCCAGACTGAACCACTGTACATCTCAAACATACTAATTGATGTTTTATATCTCCCTAAAATGTATAAAATCAAGCTGTGCCCCTACCACCTTGGGCAGTTGTCTTCAGGACCTCCTGAGGCTGTGTCATGGGAGCCTGTCCTCAATATTGGCAAAATAAACTTTCTAAATTAACTGTAACCTGTCTTAGATTTTCTAGGTTTACATTTTGGTAACCACGAAGGGATTCTGAGTGGAGATGCCCATGACCTTTGACAAATCTTCTATTGCTTGAAACCAGCATGAGCTAACTTTATGGCTCAAACCCATAGGACAAATTGCTGAGGTCTGAGAGCACCCCCTTCATAGAATCCCTGATCTTCCAAAATTTGGTTGAGATCTAAAGTTCATCTTGCTGTACAGCTCCTCCCACCCACCCTTATTTTTTTGAGATGGAGTTTTGCTCTGTTGCCCAGGCTGGAGTGCAGTGGCATGATCTTGGCTCACTGCAACCTCTGCCTGCTGGGTTCAAGTGATTCTCCTGCCTCAGCCTCCCAAGTAGCTGGGATTACAGGCACATGCCACTACGCCTGGCACATTTTTGTATTTTCAATAGATACAGAGTTTCACCATGTTGGCCAGGCTGGTCTTGAACTCCTGACCTCAAGTGATCCACCCGCCTTGGTCTCCCAAAATTCTAGAATTACAAGCCCTCCTCTTTTTTCTTGGAATTTTGCTTACTTCCAACGATGAAGGCAAGATTTCCTGTTTCGATGATGATGGAAGGCAGGCAACTCCTTTATAGAGTTTGAGCTCACTGCCAGCAGGGAAGACGAGTTTGAGTTTTTTGTTTGGAACAATGAAATTTTGTAGGGATTAATTTTTGTTTTAATAAATTATAAGATATTTTGATTTTTTAACCCGAAGTTTAACTTTTATTGCATCTTGCTGTTTTTGGTTTTCTCTCCCCTTTTAAAGGGCTTGAAATAGTAATGCTTTCCTTCAACTGATTTTCAGCTAATTATGTTTTTTTTTTTCCTCAAGTTCTACTGGTTGTGGCCTGATGCTAACAATGTTTCCTTAAAGGTCTGAAGGAATTGAATTATTCCAGCATAATATTCTGTGCAGTGCATAAGGTCATTTATTTTGCCTTTTGGTAACTAGTTTAACAGATTTTATGTTTTATCAGAACAATTTCTAGACCATTAGTATTAACTTTTGGTTTGCTTAGGAAAAAAACTGAGATTTTTTAGAAAATTAATTAAGGTTATTACATCCATGTATCTTTATGTGCTTTTAAAGTACTTGTGACATTGAGTTACAGGGCTTTGACTTCTGGGTCTAAAAAGGATTCCAAGTCCTGCTAATTCTTAAACACTGATAGCAATTAAAGCCTCTTCTTCAGGCCTGGTAGAAGATGCCAATAAAAATAAACTGCATTCCTGAGACCAGGAATTAAAGCTATTCAATTCCTCAGGGACCAAGGATTATCACGGAAGAGGTGTGCTGTGAGATTGTAAGGGCAGATATTGAAAAAGAGAATAAGTTCAGCTTCTCTATAAGTTAATCATTAATGTCAAAGGCACACTGATGTAAGATGAGCATATGGGCTCCTGTTTCAGATTAACAAGGTTTTCTTTAAGCATTAACTGTCTCCTTAATAAATGTTATAAGGGTTATAAAGAGCTTATGGAAGTTATACCATATAATCAAGAATAAAATTTTATCAATTGTTTATAAAATTTTGAAAAACAAATTTAATTGTCTTCATGCTGCTTTTATTAGGCCTTATTGTTTTGAAAATTAAGTCTACTCTCTCAAAGAATGAAGGTTTTCACCTTTTTTTGAAATCCTTGAGTTCTGACTTTGGCCAATTAAACGACTTATTTTACAAAGACCTGTGATATCAAGTGTTTTAAACCTTTGATATTTGGCAAACTTTCCAAAGTCAAATTATAAATTATGTCTTTTTCTGATCTAATTAATCTTTTAAGATATTAGGTTTCCTAAAGCCCAAAAATGACATACTTTGGCTTATTTGGTAGAAAAATTATATATGAAACATTGTCAAATATAAAATGGTGTTTTATTTTCTTTGGGCTGTATTTGTATGAATGTTATTGGTATGTGTTCCAAAATTATGAAAAACTCCTATAAGTCTGACATGACTTAATGTACATTATCACTAATAATTATAATTGTTATGTTAAATTATGTATGCCACAGCAGTAACAAATTTTCTTGTCAACTGTGTCCTTGATTATGGCTGCCCTAAAACTTTTCATCATCCACCTACAATTGTTGTCTTTTATTGGTCCTCTTTAGAAGGTGATTTTATAATCTGCTATAAAACTCTAACGTATACTCTCAAATACAAGTTTCTGATAAGTTTGGAGATTGTGACATCAGAAGAGAAAAAAACTTTACAACTCATGAAGAACTAAGATGTTCATGAATATCAAGCAGAACAGGAATTAACTACAGGGACTGATCTAATAGAAGACTGAAGTAATCTTGTCGAATTTTTGCTTAAAACGTTGCTGATCCTTTGTTTTGCTTTTTCAGAGTCAAGTAAACTTCTTTTGAGCTATTGACAGCTTTTAACGATTTAGTATACACGTAGGAACAAAATTTAGAACATATTCATTTTTCTGTTCCTGATTTCTCCAGAATTTGGGAACTATTTGCGAATTTTCTTAACTTATGGCAGTACAGATGTTCACATAAGTGCAATAAGAATCTGTTTTCATTTATAACGGGACACAATTGGAGAAACTGATTATTTTACCAAGGCTTTCACTGGAATGGTGTGCTTTCCTTTAAAGGATCAGACTTAACTTACAGAGCAAACAAAAGGCCCTTGAGAAAACTGGCCTAATACCTTGTCTACACCATCCCTGTACAGGGTTTCTGCACTGTGTTAAATAAGGAATGTCACTTTCTGACAGGCCCAGGAGCCCCATATTTATCTTGGAACTTCAAGAGGAGAAGAATTCGCCCAACTAACAGGTTGATACAAATGTACAAATATGATGGTACAAATTCATGGCTGGGATCAGCTTTTAAAAAATCTTATCTGAGGCTCCTTCTATAAAACAAGGTTTCATCAAAGCCAATTTAAAAGCCTATGTAAAAAAATAATTATTCTTGCTGCACCATATACAAATAATCAGGCAATGTAAAATAAAACAAATCAGTCCTGCCATGATTTGTCTTTAGTCAAAATGGGAAACTGGAGAGAGAAAAAAAATGTTTTAAAACTATAGTACATCTGTTTTAGATTCTAGTTTTACCCGTTTTTCAATTTTTATTGTTTTCTACAGTTTGGACCAAATTCAAATTTTTCTTGGCTACAAGAATTCAAAATAATGTTTTCAACTTTTTTCCTTCTTCCCCCCTCATTTTTCGTAATTTGGAGTCACTGAAGCCCAAGCTGTGCTTTTGTAACACCCTGCAAACTGAAGCTAGACAAATTAACTTCAGAAGAAAATAACAGCAACCTGTTTACATACAGAAACCATTTCATACCTACCTACTGATGTATGAACTTCAGAGTAGTGTCACCTATATTGATTTTCCAGGAATGTTCTTTTGTTTTTGTTTTTCTCCCTTCCTCCACTTAGTTTCTTTTTATAAGACATGAAACTTCACAACTTGCTAAAAATGAACTTTCCTAATAAACCATCCTAGAAATAAACCATCCTAGCCATGAAAGATCAGTCAAACCTTGCAACCAGAGACTCATTTTCTCCTAAAATGCCTTCTTCAAATGATTTTTAAAAAGAGAAGGGAGAAATGTGAAAGGAAAATAAATCTTGGGGACCCAAAATCACTAAGCTATAGGGAAAAGTCAAGCGGGGAACTGCTTATGCAAACCTGCCTCCCATTTTATTCAATGTCACTCCTCTTCTCAATGAAATAAATGCATATTTGATTGCCTCATTTGGAGAGGCTAATCAGAAACTTAAAAGAATGCAACCATTTGTCTCTTATCTACCTATGATCTAGAAGCACCCTCCCCACTTTGAGTTGTCCTGCCTTCTCCTCGAGTAGTCCCACCTTTCCAGACTGAACCAATGTACATCTTGTAGATAATTTATTTATGTCTCATATCTTCTTAAAATTTATAATACCAAGCTGTGCCCCTACTGCTGTAGGCACTTGTCAGCAGGATCTCCTGGGGCTGTGTCATGGGCGTGCATCCTCAACACTGACAAAATAAACTTTCTAAAATAACTGAGATTTTTCTCAGATTTTTGGGGTTCACAGTGGTGTGGTAGATTGTTTTCAAAATTTGTCACAAAATTTCTTTCATTTCCTTTAATCATATACTTAGTAATGAAAATTGCTGTTGCCATTATCAAGAAGTAGAGTCTATTTTCCCTTAGTTTGAATGATGAGGATGGTTTCAGGCATGCTTTGACTAATGGAATGCAACAAGATTTTTGTGACTTTTGAACATGAAAACATCATGTTGTAAAGAAACTGGAGCAAAAAACCCTATGGAAAGACAGGTAGAGCCATGCTCACCGTCTCAGTTGAACCTAGCCTCCAGCTGACAGGCAGATGAACACAGCTACGTGAGTGAGCCCAGAGTGACCCCATTCAACCTAAAAATCATGAAAACCAATATACAGTTGTTATTTTAAGTTGCACAGGTTTTTTTGGCTTGCTACGCAGCAACAGATAAATGGGAAAAGAGAACAGTAAGACACAGGGTACTTATCTAAGGTACAGTAGTGAAAGTGACAAAATCTAGAGGCTTGGTCAAATCAGGTAGAAAGGACGTTGATATAAGGAATCTTGAGGGTGCTTACATAGAAAGGTTCTATACATTCTTCAGAGATATATGGCTGTGAATAAGATTTCCATTCTTTTAGTAGGCATATGTGGGGCATTCCTTAGGCATATGTGGGGCATTCCTTAGGCGTATGTGGGGCATTCCTTAGGCGTATGTGGGGCATTCCTTAGGCCTCTAGCAAGAATTACACAAAGGGTTGGAATTCAGGGTCTCAGTTTTAAAGAACCTAGACTGCTAACATATCTATTAGACCCATTAGGATGAGGTATAGGATACAAATCTAGTTCTTAGGTTGTATTAAGCATGATGGGTACAAGATACTAGGTTGAGGCTCAGTGTTTACCCAAGATTTATGGAGTGAAGAATTCAGACAAGCATTTTTCTAACCCTGGACTGTGAATCCAAAGATCCTGATCTACATTTCTACCAAAATGAATGCCTGAGACTCAGGTTTTTTGTAAATATTTGATCAGTTCTCAAGGAAATCTTAGACCAAAAAGGAGATGGGCGTGAGAGAGTAAAGAGGAGCAGTGACCCAGAGTCAGATAAAGGAAGGTAGAGACATGGAATAGGCTCTTCTTATATAATCTATGTCTGATTTATGACTCTAAGTATTTTGTAAGGTATTCCAGTATAAAAACTTAATCTCTTTTACTATTGTGTATCTTAAAGAATGTTTTAAAATATCTTTTCATAAATTATAGATATTTTGGCTAAGATACCCTTTGAAGCCAATATCATCTCCTTTTAAAATGGAAAATGAGCCTCAAAAAAAAAAAAAAAAGAAAAAAGAACCTGAGATCCAAACACTGCAGCTCCTAGCAACAGTAGGAGCATGTGTTGCCAACACTATTAATATGTTCAATGAATATCAAAGTAAATAATGATTCAATTTTACATTAATTGAAAAATAGTCACTAAAGCAATTGATGTACATATTTGTTATATACTACATATCTTCTAAAGATATCAGCTTATGTGATTTTAGCATGGTATTAATCTCATGAACACCAAAATAATATTTATTTTAATTATATGATTTCCTTTTAGATTTTTATAACATTAACAGTGAAACTAAAGTAATGTATCTAATTTATATCTGTACAGCTATATCTGCATAGCTATATCTATATAGCTACAGATAAATAGATTAGGTTGATAGATGAAAATGTATATATGTAGACCTATATGTATATGTAGAGAGATACTTACATACTATCAGAAGAACTTAAAAACATCAGTCAACATAATTATTAGCTTCAGTTTTTTAAAGGCTATTTGTTTATAGCAGTTTTAAGTTCATAGCAAAATTGAGATGGTACTGACATATTTCTATGCCTTTATGCATGCCTGGCATCCCACATTATCAACATCCCTCTCCAGAGTGGTATATTTGTTACAACTGATGAACCTACTTAGATATATTATTATCATCCAAAGTCCATAACTTATATTAGGGTTCATTCTTGGAATTGTACATTCTGGGGATTCGGAAAAATATATAAGGACATGTATCCACCATTACAGTTTTATACTGAGTATTTTTAATGCCCTTAAATCCCTCTCTGATTTACATATTCATCTTCCCCCCTCACTAGCCCCTGTCAACCACTATTCTTTTTACTGTTTCCATACTTTTATCTTTTTCAGGATATCATTTATTGAAATCATAGCCTTTTCAGATTAGTTTTTTTTCACTTAGTAATATGCATTTAAGGTTCCTCTACATATTTTCTTGGCTGGATCACTGATTCCTTTTTAGCACTGGATAATATTCTATTGTCTGGAGTTACCACAATATCTTTATCCATTCACCTACTGAAGGACATCTTGGTTTCTTCCAATATTTGGCAATTATGAATAAAGTGTCCATAAACATGCTTGTGTAGATTTTTGCATGGACATAAATTTTCCAATTCGTTGGATAAATACCATGGAATATGACTGGTAGGTTGTGTGGTAAGAGCACATTTTGTTTGGTTTAGTAAGAAATCAACAAAATGTCTTTTAACATGGCTGTACCATTTTGCATTCTCACTGGCAGTGAATAAGAGTTCCTGTTGCTCCACTTGCTCACCAGTATTTGGTGCTATCAGCATTCTGGATTCTGGCCATTCTAATAGATGTAATAGTATCTTATTGTTTCAATGTGTATTTTCTCTATAATATATATTAAGAAAATCTTTTCATATGTTTATTTGCCAACTGCATGTCTTTTTTTTTTGAGAGGTCTGTTAAGGTCTTTGGCCTATTTTTTTAATCCAATTGATTGTTTTCTTATTGTTGAATTTAAATATTTATTTGTTTATTTTGGATAACTGTCCTTTATCAGGTATACCTTTTGCAAATTTTTTCTCAGTCATCAGCTTGCTTTATCATTCTCTTGATAGCGTCTTTTACAGAGAAAAAAATTTAATTTTAGTGAAGTTTAGATTATAAATTGTATCTTTTATGAACCATACCTTTGATGTTGTATCTAAAATCCTCACCAAACTCAAGTTCTAAGTTTTTTCTTCTGTTATCTTCTAGTAGTTTTATAGTTTTGCATTTTATATTCAGGTCTGTGATCCATTTTGAGTTAATTTTTGTGGTGGGTGTAAATTTGTGTCTAGATTTTTTTTTTATTTTTTAATGTTGATATCCAGTATTTCCAGCATTGTTGTTGAAAAGGTTGTGTTTTCTCAGTTATATATCCTTGGCTCATTTCTCAAAGATCAGTTGACTACATCTATATAGGTCCATTTCTGGATTTTCTATTGTATTCCATTGATATAGTTGTCTATTCTTTTACCACACATCATGTTCTTGATTATTTTAGCTTTGCAGTAAGTCATGAAATCAGGTAGCATTAGTCCTTTAATATTGTTCTTCTCCTTCAGTAATGTTTTGACTACTATACTTTGCTCATATTAACTTTATAATTAGTTTGTCAAAAGCCAAACAATCACATTTTGGAATTTTTATTGGGATTGTGGTGAATCTATAGATTATGCCAGGAAGAATCGATGTCTTGACAGTATTTAGTCTTCCTATCCATAAAAATGGAATATCTCTCCATTTTTTTTAGTTCTTTAATTTTTTTCCTTGGAGTGTTGTAGTTTTCTTCACATATATATTTTATAGATTTTATTAAATTTATATCTAAGTGTTTACTTTTTGAGTGTTATTATAAACAATAATGTGTCTTTAATTTTAAATCCCATTTGTTCATTGCCGATATATAGACAAGAGATTTAATTTTGCATATTACTCTTGTATCCTGCAGCCTTCTTATAATCACTTATTTGTTCCAAGTGTATTTTTTTTTAATAAATTATTTTAAATTTTCTCCAAAAATAACCATGTCATCTGTGAATAATGGCAGATTTATTACTTTCCAATCAACATACTTTTAATTCCTTTTTCTGATCTTATTAAAATAGTTAGGACTTCCAGTACAGTGTTGAAAATAAATGGTGAAAAGAGACATTCTTGATTTGTTCCTGTTATTAGTGGATTGGTTTGAGTTTCTCATCATTAAGTATCATGTTAGCTATAAAATTTATTGTAAATATTTTTTATCAGCTTCAAATATTTTTATCAATGCCATAAATGGGCATTAAGTTTTGTCAAATGCTTTTTCAGGATCTATTGATACAATCATGTGGTTTTTGTTTTTTTGCTTTTGGTGTGATGGATTATGTTAGTTGATTTTTGAATGCTAAACCAGCTTTACATACCTAGGACAAATCACACTTGGTTGTGGTGTATAATATTTTATACATTGCTGGATGAAATCTGCTAATTTTTGAGAATTTTTGCATCTGTCTTCATAAGAAATATCGGTCTGCAGTTTTCTTGTAATGTCTTTGATTTTTGTATTAGGATGATCCTGGCTTCACAGAATAAGTAAACATACCCCTCTGTTTCTACTTTCTGAAAGAGACTGTAGAGACATGGTATGGTTTGTGTCTTAAATGCTTGGTAGTATGCACCAATGAATTCATCTGAGCCTGGTGCTTTCTGTTTTTAATATTATCAATTATTGATTCAATTTCCTTAACAGTTATAGGCCTATACACTTTGTTCAATTCTTTTTGTGTGTTTTGTCAGATTGTATCTTTTAAGGAATTGGTTTATCTAGGTTATCAAGTTTGTGGGCATAGAAATGTTCATAATATTCCTTTATTAATGTTTTACTGTCTGTAGAATCTGTAGTGATGTTTTCTATTTCACTTATAATATTAGTAATTGTATCCTCTCTGTTTTTTTTTTGTAAAACTTGCTGAAGGCTTAATGATTTTATCGATCTTTTCAAACAACCAGCTTTTGTTTTTATTGATGTTCTCAATTGATTTTCTGCTTTCAGTTTGAGTTTTCTCTAACTTTCATTATTTTTTTTTTCTTCTTACCTTAAATTTAATTTGCTCTTCTTTTTCCTGTTTCCTATATGGCATTTTAGATGAGTGACTTAGACCTTTCTTCTTTTCTAACATATATATTCAATACAAACACTTTTTTCTCTAAACATTGCTTTTAATGCATGTGAAAAATTCTAAGTTGCATTTTCATTTCTATTTAATGAAAATATTTTAAATTTATTTTGTGATTTCTTACCTGACCTATGTATTAGAGATGGTTTGTTTACTCTATACATAGCTGTGATTTTCTAGTAACTTTTTATTATTGATTTCTACTTCAATTGCATTGTAATCGGAGAGAAGACAATGTATAATTTCTAGTCTTTGAAAATTCTGAGCTATGTTATTTTCCTTCTCTAAAGAATCTATGTAAAATTTCTTGCAAGGTTGATCCACTTGCAATAAGCTTTCTCAATTTTTATTTTTCTATTTCTCTTTCAATTTTGAAGGATAATTTCACAGGGTAATGATTTTTAGCTTGCTTGGTTCTTTTATTCTCACTCTCTTTCTTTACACTAAATATTTTACTCTACTATCTTCTTGCTTGCATGGTTTCTAAGAAGAAGTTGAGTCCAGTTTTTATTTTTCTTCCTCTAGAGGCAATTTCTTTTCTGTTTTCTTTTAAGATATTTTTCTTTATTATTCATTTTTTTGTCATTTGAAAATGATACGCCTTGGTGCAGCATTTCATCTGCATAGTATTCTCTGAGCTTCCTGGATCTGTGGTATGGTTTATGATATTAATTCTCAGGCATTATTGCTTCAAATATTTATTCTGATTTTTTCCTCTTCTACTCTTTCTGGTAGTCTCATTTTCTCTTTATATGTATGTTACATCTTTTGTAGTTGTACCACTGTTCTAAGATGTTTCATTCTTTGTTCTTTTTGCTTCTCAATTTTGGAAGTTTCCATTGAGATATTTTCAGCATAGGCATTTTTTCCTGAGCTGTATCCAGTCTATTAATAAGCTCATCAAAGGTGTTCTTCATTTCTGTTACAGAGCTTTTAATCTCTTGCACTTATTATTGATTATTTCTTAGAATTTCTATCTCTCCGTTTACATTCCCCATCTATTTTTGCATGTTGTCTACTTTATCCATTAGAGTCCTTAGCATACTAATGACAGTTGTCTTAATTTCCCAGCCTGATAATTCCAGCACCTTTTCTCATGTTTGGTTCTGATGTTTATTGTGTCTCTTCAATCTGTTTTTTGCCATTTAGTATTCCTTGTAATTTTTTCTTAATAGTTGTACATGATGTAATTGGGAAAAAACCTTCTGTAACTAGGCCTTTATTATTTGCTGGAAAAGTAGCTCTGTCCAGGGAAGCCTTCTACAGAGTTGTAATTGTGTTTCAGTCTTTTAGTAGGCCTATGCCTATGCCTCTGGATGGTGAACATCACAGGATTTCTCAGCCCTCCAACATCACACTGCTCAAATTGTTCAGTATGGCTAAAGTGGACTAGAGTTGGATATTTCCCTCCCCTACACCTAGGTCAATTAGGCTATGAGAGAACTCTAGTAGGTTAAGCTCTGGTTAACTAGTTTCTCCTGAGGGAAGGCCTTATTAAGATCAGGGCACTCTGGTTTGTTTCAAAGTGGTTTCTGTTTTCCTCCCCTCCAGGATATTTTTCTCTGATATTTACTATGAGAACCCAGTCAAACTCCTAGAGGCAAAACTTACAAAAATGTGGGGACCCCTATGACTGGGTCCTCCTGGAGTTTTTAACTTTCACACTTGTCCACACTGAATCTCCAGGAATTAATCCAGTATAGTTCAGGTTTTTCTATCCCAGCACTCCTTCCCACTTCTTCGTGGGGAGGGATCTGCTCTGATATGTTGTAATTCTCTGCGGCCGCCTGTCTGTCCTATTTTAGGGGCAGCAGTTTGTCCTTTGACTCACCTCTTACAGATCTAAGAAGATTTTTTGATTATTCAGTTTGTACAGCATTGTACTTGTGGTTAGGATAGAAATGACAACTTCCAAGCTTTGTTTTCCAAGTTTCTTGGTTGTGGTTTATTTCTCTGCTTTTTTTCCCTTATAAACCTACTTTGTAGGCTTGTGGTTATTTTGAGTTCCACTTTTTTTCTCTCTTTGGACACAGAACTCCCCTACAGGCTTCTTCATACTCCCCCATACTTATTTAATTATTTGGTATTTATCATGTAAATGTATAACTGTTTGATGAAATGAAAAAAATGCCATCAGTGGAAGCAAAATTTATAATACTCAGATTTTGAAGGATAACAGATTATACTACATGGGAATTCTTGTTTATAGCAATGATGGCAGTGGCAGCCTGTCTGGAGCAACCACTGCCAAGACACTGGTGGCAGCAGGGGAGGTGTGGTCAAGGCTGTGCCCTCTATGGAGCCAGTGGGAGCTGAGAAGAGGCAGAAGCCCCATTGTCTTCCGAGTTGGCTGTGCAGGTGCCCCACCCTCCCAGGTGCAGCTGCAGGCACCTAGATTGACTTTGGAACAGGACATCCCTATTCACTTGGTGGCCCAGGAAGCCCCCTCCTGCCCCCACAGGATTAGAAGTGCCTGCTCCCACTGCCTGGTCTCTCCCTGCTCCTGGCATCCACTCCAATTCTGGAACAAAGTTGAAGCCAACCATGGGCTCTGTTGTGACCCATCCAGGTATGTGCGTGCCTGAGGTGACACCAACATACCAGCCCTCTGCCACCTTGGCCCCCTCTGGACTTTGGACACAACAAGCATAGGAGGGAGGCAAGAGGGGGTTGAGGGTGGCTTGGTGCAGGCTTCCAGGTGCCCTTCAGCACAAATAGCCTAGGTGCCATGAATGGCAGTTGATGGCATGAGGCAGAGAGGCTCCTGGGTGGAAAACAAGGGGTCTCTGGTGAAGCCCCACTTTCAAGTCAGGAACAGCCTAAAGAAGGGGGGCCAAGCTGCCAGAGTGAGAACTTAACGGTGTTTTTTCTGGGCCTGCCATGGACCAATCAGCACACAATTCCTCCCTTCTGAAGCCCATAAAAACCTTGAACTCAACCAGACTTGCAGAGACCACCTAATAACCTGCTTGCAGACTGGAGCTACCCACTCCATGTCTCTTCTCTGCTGAAGGCTGCAGAGAAGACAGGAAGACCTGCCTGCAGATAAGAGCTAACCACTTCAGGTTTCCTGAGAGCTGTACTGTCGCTCAATAAAACACCTCTTTGCCTTGCTCACCTTCCAGTTGTCCAGGTACCTCATTCTTCCTGGATGCAGGACAAGAACTTGTGTCCCATTGAATGACAGGAATGAAAGAGATGTAACGCAAACAGCACTGAAACACACCTTCCCCCCCACCCCCATCACACTGCAGGCTATGAGAAGCAGAGAAGAGCTGTGGCCCTTTGGGGATCCCAGACCTAGGGGCTCCCCAAGCTTGGGTTGTGACACCTTCTTTAGGGCTCTGCAGTTTCTGGCATCTCCAAGCTTCTGAGTGCTACTGTGTTTCCTGGTGGCCACAGTGGAAGCCACTTGCGGTATGCCTGGTCCTGCTGCAGCATCGCATGGAGCCATTGCCCGTGCCAGTGCCTGAAACTGCCCATCCCACTGCACACAGCATGTCTGGCTGTGCTCAGTGGCTGGACCACACACTCGTTTACACACCCTTCACTGTTCTGTGCCTGGCTTGCCCTTGGCAGTCACAGGATCTGGGCTGGTAGTGCAAGTGGAGTGCAGCCTGCAGGGCTGAGTGGGCTGAACAAGCACAGCAGGCCTGAGCAAAACTCAGGTAAAGGCACCACTGGCCAAAGAGGTTTCCAGCTGCTGCAGCGACAACCCAAGGATGCTGTGACAGTGACATACCGTATCTTCATTATCTAATTCTGCATAATAAACTTATCGCAGTTATAGTAGCTTAAAACAAAACACATTGATTATCTGTAGGTTTCTATGGCCCGGAAATCTGGGCACAGCTTAGCTGGAGCCTCTTGCTTCAGGGTATTGCCAATGGTGTTCACATAAGCATTCAGTTAATTCTTAGCCCCAGATATCCCACAACATTCATCTTGGATTCCTAAGACCACTTGACAAAACACAGAGGCAAATGGATGAGCCATGAAGTTAGGATTTGATCTGGCAAGTGAGCAGTGGTAAGATTCATTTATTAATTGTATCCTATTAATGGAGATGAATATTTCAATTTCTTTCAATTTCCAAATTAAGTTCATAATTTATTTTGAAAGTTTTTTTTTTAAATCAGAGATTTCATTAATTTGGAAAAGAATTATTTAGATTTGTCCACTCAAGCTATCATTTTACCAAAATTCTTCTGCATATGATGTTTGTAACTTTAAATAATGTATATGACGTTTTGTATGCACGTCTTTCCTCCCATACTAGATTCTACACCTCTTGCAAACTGAGTCCCAAAGTGTTCTGCACGTAACTGGTGCTCTTAAAAGTGGTGGAAAGAATGAAATAAATGTAATACAATGACTTCAGGCTATTGTATTAATGACTATTTGTAACTTTAATGTTTCAGTTTAAACATACATTGTGTTTAACAAACCATGTTTTACCTTCTTTAAACTGAGAAAATGCATTCACCTTTTTTTATTGCATAAACCTGGCACTTAATAGCACATTTCTGGCATTGTAAACAGTAGGATTAGTTTGTCATTTGAATGCCAATTTCAAGCTCCAAGTTTTCTTGTACTAAATGTGACAGCTTTGAATACACTTGTACGTCTGTGATTCACTCACACCATGGGGATGCAATTTGGCAAGTAGTAATTTCCACAGCAATAAACAAAATGAGATTCAGAAATGTAAAAGACACACACTGATAAAAATGGCATTAAAAACATCCATACTAGTTAGTTTTAGTTTTTTGTTTTAAACTATACTCCAGAAATTTGGTTTCACCCATACAATAAACTTCCTTTTCTTATCATTAAACTTGAGAAATATTTTGTCAAATATTTAACAGAAAAAAATATATAAATGTTTAGGTATGACTAGGGATAAATATACTCTTGGCATCATATCAACTTTTCCCCTTGTTTTAATTTGGCCTGTTTAATTAAGGTATAAATGATACTTTGCATAAATCACTCTATCTTATAGGTGTTTTAATTCTTGGTAAAAATACAATCACATGAACAATAAATATATTAAAAATCTAGAAGAGTCAAAAATGACAAAAATGCCGCTGTATGAGCAAATAATCTTGTGGTTACATTGTGGCTATATTTAAATTCAGTAAGAGGAGAGCTACAAACATTTGACTGTGTACTTTGGACAACTTAATTACATTCTTTCTGTTTACAATATTTAGTGACTGTGCTGATGTTTGTCAAGCTTGTAATGATACTGTATTTTGAACAACATTAAAAGAACTTGTCAGAAATATTTTGAACTGAATATTTATGAATAGGATTTGAAAATCTGTAAGTTTTAAAAAGCTAACTTGTCCATTATCTGTATGTTGATTCATTAATTAATACATGTTTATTGAACCCTTAGAATGCTTCTCATTTATAAAGTGTGTGGTAATTTTGGGAACACAAACATGTTAAGACAGAGGACTAATGGGAGAGAAGAGGCCGATAATGCTGGAGATAAGTTTGAGCTGGATTATGTTACACAGATGGCAATTGTTAGATGACATCCAGGAGGTAGCATCTCACAACTCTCAGAAACTTTGGTTTTGTGTCAGGCAGAACAAGATTAAATGACTCATCTGCCATCTATTAACCATTTTTGATATGTCAATTTACTTAATATCTCCAAGTCCTTACCTTTTCTTATACAAATGATAAGAATTTTTTCACATCTGACCACTCTAAAATTTAAACATAGTATATTTGAGGGTTTACTATACACTAGAAACAACATTGCATAATTTTATTGAACATGATGGGGTTAATTGTGGTAATAGAAATGGCTATAATTTTGTCAGCAATGATTTCCCAGAGGGTAACTGAGAGTAGTTTTTTGAGGGTGTTCCAGATTACCTCTTGTCTTAGTCTGAGTTCTCTGAGAATCAAATACTGAGACTGGATTTAATGTACCAATATTTTATTAAGAAAATCATGGTGGTCTGAATAATTATGCACCCCCCCACCACCAAATTCATATGTTGAAAACTAATTCCCAGTGTGTTGATATTAACAAGTTGGGACATGGCTAGAACATGAGGGCATAGCTCCCATTAATGAGATTAGTGTCCTTATAAATTAAGCCCAAGAGAGCTTGTTTGCCCCCTCCACCATGTAAGGATGCAGCTCAAAAGTGCTCTCTATGAGGTACATGCTCTCATCAGCCACTAAATCTGCCGGTGCCTTGATCTTAGGCTTCCCAGCCACCAGAACTATGGGAAATAAATGTTTGTAGTTTATAAGCCACCCTGTTTGTAGTATTTTTACTATAGCAACCTGAACAGACTTAGACAGAAATTGGCATGGAGAGTGGGGAAAAAGTGTGGGAAAAAAATGTGGAAGTGGCTTTCGAACAGGTCAATGGATGGAGATTGGAAAAGTTTTGAGACAGATGCTAGAAAAATACTATATTGCTGGAAATAGAATGTTAAGGGCAATTCTGGTGATGGCTCAGAAAAGGAGAGCTATAAGGAAAACTTATTTTCTTAGAGATTTTGTAGGTGGTCCTGACAGAATATTCATAGATATATAGGCAATAAAGGCCATCATGAGGAGGTCTTAGATAGAAATGAGTAACATGATATTGGATACTGTGGGAAGGGTGATACTTGTTATAAAGTGCCAAAGAACTTTACTGCATTACTTTTGTGGAGGGTAGAATTATGATTGATGAAATTGGATATTTGACTAAGAAATTTTATTTTTATTTTTAGAGACAGGGTCTCACTCTCACCCAGGCTGGAATGTAGTGGCACAATCATAATTCAAACTATAGGGTTCAAACTCCAGGGCTCAAGCAATCCTCCCACCCAAGCCTCCTGAGTAGCTAGGACTACAGGCATGCACCTGTATTTTTTTAGCCTCTTTTTAAAATAGAGATACAATCTTGATATGTTGCACAGGCTGGCCTTAAACTCCTGACCTCAAGCAATCTTTCTGCCTTGGCTTCCAAAAGAACTGGGATTATAGGCATGAGCCACTGTGCCTGGCTGACTGAGGAAATTTCTAATTTACATTTACTAATTACTAATGCATTTACAAGTAAGTAAATGTATAAAATTTCCCAAGTAAGTCTTCATGCCTGTAATCCCAGTGCTTTTGTATGTGTGTATTAGTCAGGGTTCTGAAGAGAAATAGAACCAATAGGAGATAGATAGATAGATAGATAGATAGATAGATAGATAGATAGATAGATAGATAGATAGGAGAGAGATATATAAGATAGATAGATAGATAGATAGATAGATAGATAGATAGATAGATAGATAGATAGATAGATAGATGACGGATGTGTTGACAGGGGATTTATTAGGAAATTGGCTTACATGATTATGAAGTCTGAAAAGTCCCACAACAGGCCGTCTACAAGCCAGTGAACCAGAGAAGCCAGTAGCATGGCTCATTCAAGGTTGGAAAGAGCCATGCTTCGATGCTTATAGCGAAATGCAGAGAGAAACAACGTAAAGACAAATTTTAATCAAAATGGAAGCATATCTCAAATATTTGGCAAATTATCAGCCTGGCCATATGGTTAATAAATGAGAAGAGATGTTTGGCAGAGAATATTAGGGTGTGGCAAAGTGACTGATAAGAAAATTAGTATGGATAAGTAGAAGTCAGGTGCTATTCATCAAAAAAATGGGAGATTGACTCCAAAGGCGTTTCAAAGGTTATTAGTGCTGCTTCTCACATCACAAACCATAGTGCCAGGAACTAGGGGACAAAATGATATCAAAAGAGGGTCCCTGGGCACCATGGGACCTTAGCACTTACTGACTAGTGCCACCTTAAGTATGTTTTCCCAGCATTCCAGCATAGAGCTTCTCAGCTATACAGGTGTGGCTTCAGCAGTCCTGCGTGCTGTGGACCACAGTGTTCACCCCTATAAAAACCCAGGTGGTAAATCTTGTTGGCATCCTCACAGTGCCATGTCTACAAATGCCCAGAATACCTGAGCTGGGAGCCCTTGATTTTGAATGGTTAGCCACCCAGAGCATTGGGTGATCCAGGCAAAGGGAAAGCTTTAGAGTTGGGCCACTGCAGAGAGCCCCCACTAGAACAGTGCCCAGTAAAGATATTGAGACAGGGCTATCTGGAACTTTGGGGTCCAATCTCTGTCCTAGAGTCCTGAAAGCATGATATCAAGTAAGGTTATTCTTGAGCCTGTAGATTTAATGCTTTCCCTGTTTGTTTTGGACTTACTTGGGAACTATTATACATTTACTTACTTGGGAACTGTTATACGTTACTTACTTTGGGAACTGTTCTACATTTATTTTTTATTCTATTTTCCCCTTCTGGAATAGAAAGTTTATTCTATGTCTTTCCAACTACTGTACTTTGGAAGCACATAACTTTTTTGGTTTTACAGGCTCAAATCTGAAGGGAAGTTTACCACAAGATGGCTTCTACCTTGAGCCTCACCCATATCTAATTTTAAATAAATCTCCGAACTTCAGACTTTTGAATTGGTGCTAGAATGAGTTAAGACTTTGAGGGCTGTTGAGATAAAATGAATGTGTTTTGCATGGAAGAAGGACATAAGTTTTTGGGGACCAGAGATAAAATGCTATGGTCTGAATATTTATGTCCTCTAAAAATATATTGAAAAGTAATCCCCAGTGTGATGGTAATAGAGGTCAGCCTTTGAGAGATGACTAGGTCATGAGGGCATACCCCTCCTAAACTGGATTAGTGTTTTTATAAAAGAGGCCCAAAGGAGCTTATTTGTCCCTTTTAATATGTGAGCACACAATGAAAAGTTGCTGTGTATGAAGAAAAGGTCTTTGCTAGACACCCATTTTGTTGTCATCTTGATCTTGGACTTCCCAGCCCCAGAATTGTGAGAAATAGGTAATTTTTTTTTGTTATAAGCCCCAATTCATGATACTTTTGTTATAGCAACCTGAAAAGTCTGTAATAGTATGTGTGTGTATTGGTCACAGTTCTTCAGAGAAATAGAACCAGTAGGAGATAGATAGATAGATAGATAGATAGATAGATAGATAGATAGATAGATAGATGACAGATGAGTTGACAGGGGATTTATTAGGAAACTGGCTCACTTGATCATGAAGCCTGAGAAGTTCCACAACAGGCCATCTGCAAGCTGATGAATGAGAGAAACCAGTAGCATGGCTCATTCAAGGTTAAAAGGCCTGAGAACCAAATAAATCAATGATGCAATTCTCAGTTTACAACTGAAGGCTCATGAACCCCAAAAGGCCACTGGTGCAAGTCCCACAGTCCAACAGCTGGAGAATTTGGAGTTCCAATTTCCAAAGCAGGAGGAGAAGGGCATCCCATTTTAGAAGAGAGAGAAATAATTCACCTTTCCTTTGCCTTTTTGTTACATCTGGACCTCCAGGTGATTAGATGGTGCCTACCTGCACTGAAGGCAGATCTTTCCTACCATGTTCACTGAATCACACATCATTCTTTTCCAAAAACATCCTCATAGACATACTCAGAAATAATGCTTCATCGACTATCTAGAAGTCACCCTATCTAGTCAAGTCCACACCTAAAATTAACCATCACAGTGGAGAAAATGGGAAGAGAATGGGTGAAGCCTGGGAGACTTATGAGACAGCATGCAAATCTGATCACAAGGAAGTGAGAAAGACAGCCTTAATATCTAGGGAATGTTCAGATGGTCTGCTGGCAGTCTCAGAGTCTAAGTCAGAGGAATTTTATGTTTTTCAGGAAAAGGTCTGACTTAACTATTTTTACCATGCCTGGTCATTGAGGAAGAACCTTTGTAAACCTGACTGTGATGAATTTCAGAGTACAGCAGGTGATGCCATTGGTCAGCTATATTCTCCATAGTTGAAAGTCTGCAAGACCTGTTTCCTATATGGCCTCTCACCCAGAAGCAGTGTGTTGGATGGATTCAAATAAGCTATTTAGGAGGAGAAAAAAACATATTTCTTACTAATGATTTCCACTTTTCAGGGACCTTAGTAACTGGTTCCTTGAAAATTTAGTATTAAAATCTATTTCTCTTTGAGTCAATGCCAATACTATTTCCAACACATCACTCCATTTCAAAAAAACAATCCCTTATAGACTTATAATATGTTCCCATTTTAAGATTGTGTGTTTTTATTATTTATCTTTGCTATTTGAACTCCACAAAACCCATAAAGTTGATGATGGTCAGAATATCATTTGAGGAAACTGAAACTCAGTGAGCTCCTTGAAGGGGTAAATGAAAGATCCAAACACCAGGGATTTGCCTTAACTCTAAGCCTGATGGTGATTCAAGTGGACCACTCTTATCTGATAGTTACAGTACCTGTGGAAAGTCTCGACAAGTAGGATGACAAAGATCAGGTCTGAAAGATATCCCCAAAGAAAAGATTATATTGTAACCTGAGTGGATGATGGGATAAAGAAGAGGAAAGAGTCAAAGACAGAGTTTTCAAGCCTGTGTGGCTGAAAGGATAAGATCACAAATAAGATCAAAGTAAATCATTCATATGTTTATGCCCCTTGGTGAGGTCAGTTTGAAAAATCATTATTTGGAAAGGAATTTTATTGAAACCCTATGCCCTCAGCACAGTAAGTTTGAAAAGTTGTTATTTGGAGGAGATTTTATTGAAACTCCCAGAAAGAAGTCCTTTTAACCAGATTTCTTTTAGAAGCAAATATAGAGTGGATGTGGATGAAGCTTTCTTTCCTAGGATTTTAGACCACTGTTACTTCATATTTGAAAATCAGGAAAATCACACAAAAATATTTTTATTGCTACACAAATTTATCACTTTAGTACATTTGATGTCTAATAAGAAATCATATAAGAACAAAATTGTGAGCTATTCACACAATCTTTCCAGACTCATATGGAAAATGAGTCTACAGGACACAATGTTAATTACAAGTTCATGCATAGTTATTTGCACATAATAAAAGTAGCAGAGAGTATAGAGATTATTTAAAGCTCTTCTGTTGTCAGCTTCCATTTAAAAGATGGAAATAGAACTTTATTTAGGATACCAGAACAACTAGACACAATTTAAATTTAGAGAGATATTCAAATAGGTCATAGAGACATTCTCGTGACTGCTATGAAGCAGACAAGCTTGATAAATGGGCAAGGTTTGTAAATAAGTATCATTTTATTTATTTTATTTTATTTCACATTTTCTGTTAGGGAAAAAGCAGTAGCAGTAGAGAAGCTAAGTTTTGAAATTTCAGACTTTCCCTCGAGGTTTTACAAATATGTTGCCCATCTTTGTTCTGAATTGCACTGAGTTGAGTAAATTAAATAATAAAACAAAATAAACTCACATACTGCCAAATTCTGTGGAATTTCTTTCCAGCTGTTGTGTCTTTATTGAGTAATACATTATCAGTGTGATGGTGTATTTGTGGTGATAAATCACACTGTTTCATAATTAGACCATGTATCCTGGTAAAATATTAACTCAAAAACTCAGTAGTATGCTGAAGAAAAACATTTTAGAATTTCTGATTCTACGTGATTATTTTTAAAGTACATTGCACATACCGTTGAGGTAAATTGTAAAATAAGGGCTCAACAATAACAAGAAATGTTCTCATACAAGCCTTCTACTTTATACCGGGAATACTTCAGAGATTTTAAAAACAGAAACTGCAATTTAGTCCTGGCTTAACTATATTTTCAGTTTTCTAAACTTGAATAATTATTCTGGAACTCAATTTTTCCACCTGTGAAGTGGAGGTAATAATGGTTACCTCAGGGTGTTATCATAAAAATACAATGAGTTTACCTGTGTGGGGGGACTTTGTACAAGAAGACGAAAAGGCAGCATCACCTTGTGCTTTATGGTTATGGCATGGGTTTACATATGGCTCTAAAACTTGCCAGCTCTATTACTTTAGGCAAATTAATTGACTTCAATGTGTCTCAGTTTTCTCATCGGTAAATAGAGTTACTATCCAAAATGTTTAGGCAGCCTAAGTGAGAAAACATTTGGAAATTTCTTAAAATAAGCCTGTTCAATATACATGCTTTCTAAATAAATGAATTAAAAAATGTGTCACAATGTATATTAGCCACCATAATGGTTAATTTTGCATGTTAACTTGACTGGACCGCAGTGTGCCCAGATATTTGGCCAAATATCATTGTAAGTGTTTCTGTGCAAATATTTTTGAACGAATTTATCTTTTAATTGATAGAATGAGTAAATCAGATTGTTCTGATTACTGGGCCTCCTCCAATCAGCTGAAAGCCTGAATAGAACAAAAGGCTAACCCTCTTCAGAATAAGAGGGAACTCCTCTTGCCAGACTGCTTTCAAGCTAGGACATCTGTGTTTTTTCTGCCTTTGCACTTGACCTAAAACATGAACTTTTCCCAAGTCTCAAGACCGCTGGCCTTTTGACTGAAATACCACCATTACCTGTCCTGGGTCTCCAGCTTGTGAACTGTAGATCTTGGAACTTATTAGCCTCCATAATCATGTGAGTTAATTCCTTATAATAAACCACTATATAGGGCCGGGCTTGGTAGCTCATGCCTCATACTTTATAGTATGACAGCTGGCACAAGAGGTCAGATCATTACCTTGTTTAACCTTGACTAGGAACATATGTCTCAGGTAATTCAAATTTTTCACCAATCTGTCCATGTATATAAAAAGGATGTAAGTATTGATTTGGGGGTTGAAAAATAAATTTTAGCAAATAAGCAAATTTGAAAATGCAGAATCCATGAATAAGGAGAATCCACTGCACTGCACTTTGGGAAGCCTAGGTGGGTGAATCACTGGAGGTCAGGAGTTTGAGACCAGCCTGGCCAACATGATGAAACCCCATCTCTACTAAAAATACAAAAAATTAGCTTAACATGGTGGTGGGCACCTTAATTCCAGCTACTCGGGAGGGGACGCTGAGGCAGGAGAAATGCTTGAACCAGGGAGGCAGAGGTTGTGGTGAGCCAAGATCACGCCACTGAACTCCAGCCTGGGCAGCAGGGATGAAACTCTGTCTCAAAAAATAAAAATAAAAATAAATAAATCATATATATATCCAATTATATACATATAATTATATATAATTGATAGGGGTATATATAGTTATATATATAATATATAAATATAAATAGACATATATTTGAATATATATGTAAAGATTATATATAAAGATATATGTGTGTGTGTTTCTCTGGAGAACCCTGAAAAATGCAGTTAGATACATGTTCCCAACAAATAAATGATAAACAATGATTTTTCTTATCATAAAATGTTGTAATATGTTAGAAAATGTGAAAAAATCAATACAAAGTTAAGCTGAATATGAGTGATATCATAAAGCATGTAGTAAAAGTTACATTGTACAATTCTTACTGAGATTTTAAAATTTAAATCACTTCAAAATAACTCTACATTTATTATAGAATCAAGTAATTTGATAATTTAATTTTTGGTTTGTCATGTGTCCATATGTATTAAAATATCAGAGTAGAATGAAATTTATATACTCTTTCTTCAGTGTCTGCCTGAATTTTTATATGATATATAAAGAAAGCCATAGATATAATTATTAGGTAAATGTTTCATTTTTGTGAATTGATCAGTGATATTAGGTTTTATTAAATTTTTTACTGTGATACTTCTTATTTAAAAAATAAATAGATGTTTGAATATTTCCATAATTTTAGTGCCAACACAGTGAAATTTGGTGAGACACAGGAAAACGTAATGATGTAATAAATTTCAGCATCAGCATTTCCGCTTTAGGTCAAAGAAACTAATTTCTAATATGATTAATTCTCATTATTTGCTCTAGTTATGTTCTATAAAGTCATCACAAACACTGGGATAGCGAACACCAAATCATTGTTCACAGGGGAGATGCAGATTTAAGTTCTTGTGCACCTTTGGTCAAAATATTTTTATCAGTTAATCAATGCATAACCTTGTTTGTTGTGTTTTTTAAGACACCTTATTTTTAATATACACACGCACACCATGTGTGTGTACCTATGTAAATATAGAGCTTATTTTATATACACACACACACACACAAATTGTTGAATCATTAATGTACTCATTGCTGCAACACTGTAACTCATGCCTGAACTGTTTCTTCATAAGGTCATGTCACAGTCTTTCTGCATTTAGAAATGCTAGACAGTACTTCAGCGCTATACTTGAGGTCCATTTTAAGTATCAAAATCACTAACAAAAATGTGAAAAACATGACATTAAATAGACCACACAAAGGACACTTTATAGTATGAGAGCTGGCACAAGAAGTCAGAGCATTGTCTTGTTTAACCTTGACTAGGAACATATGTATCAGATAATTCAAATTTTTCAGCAATCTGTCTATGTACATAAAAGGGACGTAAGTAATGATTTGGGGGTTGAAAAATAAATTTTAGCCAAATGAAGCAAATTTGAAAATGCAGAATCCATGAATAAAGAGAATCCACTGCACTCTAATATTTGAAGTATTTTCAGTACTTCAGTATTTCTGTTAATAATTTGTATAGTTAACTAGGAGAGAGTTCTTTTTAACATTTTTATTTTTAATTATTTGGGGTACACATAGTTGTATATATTTATGGGGTACATGTGATGTTTTGATATATATACAATGTATGTATCATACAATGTATTATATGTGTTGAGACATACAGTAAGTAATGATAAAACTAGGATAGTTGGAATATCTGTCACCTAAAGCTTTATCATTTATCTGTGTTAGAGACATTCCAATTCCACTTTTTATTTAAATGTATACAATAAATTATCAACTATAGTCATTCTATTGTGCCACCATATAGTAGATCTTATTCATTCTACCTGTATTTTTGTTCCCATTACCCAACCTCACATTATCTCCAACTCAAACTAGTTCTTGTTTAGATTTCCTAGAGTATGAAGTTTAGAGGAAAAAAAAAATGAGTTAAAGTGTGCTCATAAGTAAGAAAATAGTGCAACTGTGGCATAATTTTAATGACACAGATGCAGATAAATTAATCAGAGGTGACACAACACAATAATTTACTAGAAGAATAATTCTGAACAAGTGAAATAGAGATTAAGTTTAAAATGACCAAAAAATATTATTGTGGTTTAAAATAAGTCAACTTTTGTGTCCAAGCATATTTCCAGCAGAATTTAAAAATCGGATGGTAGAGTAGAGACAAAATTTTTCAAGTTTTATTCATATGCAACTAGAGTGGTCAGTTTGATGTCAGTTATGAAAAAGCCTAGCTATGTCCCCTCCCATCAGGATCATACTGAAGCAAGCCTTGAGAACTATTACTAAGTCATGTAGTTCAAGTACAAAATCATTAAAGCAGTAGGCATAGGCAGATGTTTGTATGTTAATCACCAATGTTAAATTGAAAGAATTTGCCCCATTATTGTCAAATAACTAATAGGAAGGTTAGAATATTATAAAATGATGAGTTTTATAATTAGACACACCTGGCTTCAAAACCTCATAACCACTCCAGTGAAGGTGAATGATTTCAACTTCACTAATAAACTTCACTAAGTCTCACTTTCCTCCCAAGTAGTTGGATATATAGCAGAATGGTGACATTAACCATTAGTTCTGAAGGAATATTACCTGTCTCAAAATTGTGGTTCTGCCACCTATGAGTTAGTGAGAGAAATTTATTATCTTTTCAAAATGCACCTTTCTCGTCTGTTTAAAGAATATAATGATGGGCTCACCCTGTATCAGTCCATATCCTTTGCAAATACAGAATTCATTCTAACCAGATTGGGCAAGAAGAATTCACCCTAAAAAGCTTTTGGAAACATTGAAAAGACTGAAAAATAGACTCTACACTAGTCTGAACAGCAAGTAATTTACTATGGGACCACAGTTCTCAAACTGTGGCTATACAGAGATGCTAAATGATAACTTAAATTGTTGAGGCTACACAGTGACACGTATTGGTCACTGTGGAAATTATTCCTATTAAGTTGTTTTGACCTATATAATAGAGCATAGTACCTGTGTTAAAGATTATACTGTACGGTCTGTGTACAGACTGTACAACCGTGTATATAACACAGTACTATGGAAATTGTGTCCCCTCAAAAGGCATTTGTTAAAATCCTAACCCCCAAAGCAATATCATTAAGATGGAGCGCCACTGAAGATAATTAGGTCATAAAGGTGGAGTTTTCAGACATAGGATTAGTGTCCTTATGAAGGAGGTCCCTGAGAGCTCCTTTGTCTCTTTCACCATGTAAGGACTTGGTAAAAAGATGAGCATCTATGAACTAAGAAGCTGGCCCTCGCCAGACTTTGAATCTTTCCTCACCTTGATCTTGGACTTCCCAGACACCATAACTGTGAGAAATAAATTTATGTGTTTATAAGCCATCCAGTTTATGGTATTTTTGTTACAGCAACATGAACAAACTAAGACACATAGATTTTAGATTTTAAATTCCTACTGGCACTGTAAAAAAATAGTTGCCAAGAGACTAAAGGCACTATGAACTGAAAAATATTTGGGAACTTTTGTCATAGGGTTTGCAATAGCTCACAGAATCACCGGGAAGCATTAAAAAAATAAACTCTAGTCTGAGTTTTCAAGAATATTTACAAAGCCACACTGGTAAACTACCAAGGAAACTGCTGCTCCTCTCCCAAATTGGTAAGCTATCACTACCACTGTTGGCCCCAGAACCTATTCATCTATAATCCACAAGCCTTGACTCTCTCCCTAATAAACTGTGTTCTAAATTTAAGCTCCCCATGAATGCATCGGATTAGTGGACTTTAAATCATATTTAGTTCACACTATTTAAGTTTAATTAAAATTATATACAATGAAAACTTCAGTTTCTCACCCATACTAGCTCAATAGGTTCATTTAAAATTCTCCATAATCTTAGGTGGCTAGTGGCTACTGTACTGGACATGGTGCAGATATAGAACTTTTCCATGATCATGGAAAGTTCTGTTGGGGTTGGTCAATGCTGTTTGGTTATACCATTAGCTATAACTGCTACAGTTTTATTTGGATATTTTTACTTATGTTACATTTGTCATATTTTTTTCCTATGTTTCACATCTTAGGTCAGTCTAGAATAGAATATAATTCTATCAAGCCTTTTACATAAACTCAGATTTCTGTCTCCCTGATTCTAATTGCTCAAAAATCTTTTCTTCAGCTGCAGCTCTGACTCTTCATAATTTACTATTATAGATCAGGGTAGCTCAACATTAGCACTATTAACATTCTAGGTTGCATAATTTTTGTCGTGGAGGCCTGTCCTTTGCAGAGAAGGATATTTAGCAGCATTCCTGGGCAATTCTCACTAGATTCTGGCAGCACCCTTCCCCAGATTGTAATAACCCAGACTTTTTCGAGATGTTGCCAATGCCATCTAGACAACAAAAGAGCCACTGGTATAGAAGGTCTATGCATATTGAACATAAGAAGTTCCCCTTGGATCAATCAGGCACTGAAAATTATCTATTTCAGTTACCAAAGAAGTGCTTTTTTAAAAAAATTCTCTTTCTGCTGGTTCTCTCTTCTCTTTCTTTCTCATGTTGTGGCCATTGTTTTTTTTCTTTCTTTTTGCCAATGTACACAACTTTTAGGCTTTATACTGCAAAATATTTGCTTTGCTTAAGATACAGAAATCATAACACTGCTGTCACACAAGAAAGCTACCCCCTGACTATACGATCTCAGGAACTTATTATTTTATAAATGCCTCCCTGTAACTTTTAATGATACATTTTTGTTCTTCCCAGAACAATCACAGCTGAGTCTATAGAAATCGATCAAGATTGGTTAGGCAGTAGAGCCTGATATTATACTTGCCACCTTTCAGCACTAAAAATATGTAATGAGGGAATGACTAAAATTGTAGATAAGCATCACATATAAGGCAGGCCAGAGGAGAATATAGTGAGCATCTAGTAGCATCTACAGACGACTGAAGGAGTTTTGGAACACTGAGTCTCAAACAAGTTGGTTATAATACAGAGCTTTTCAACTTCTATTACATGTTAAAATCACTTAGTAAGCTTAGAAATTCTACCTAGACCTGCATCCATTCCCAAGATTCTGATTAAATATATCTGGACTGGAGTTCCAGAAATATATTTTTAAGGCCCTCAGGCAATTCTAAAATATATTCAGGTTTGCTAATCTTTGCAATATAGACATCACCTCTGGAGGTTACAAAATATTGATTTATGCGATGTGGGTTGATTTCTATTTCAATAGACTTGGGATGTGTGCCCCAATAATAAAGGTTTATTTAATTCTTCCTATGATTATTTTATGTAATCACATTTATTAAGCACTTTCTTGGTAGAGAAAAGAAACGTAGAGGTGGAAATTTGTCTCTGTGTCAGGTTATTCAAAAGTGGGCAGGGCCCCAGTATATTGGTAGGAGGGTGAAGAAACTTGGATAATAGCAGGAGGATGATCAGTAGATGTGGCAAAAAGTAGGATAAGGCTGCATTGGGAACCAGGGTCCAGGGCAGAACTCCAGGCCAGAAAATGAGATGGAATTAAGGGGGGACCAAAAAGGAAACTAGTAACTGGATAGAAAAAGTTCTCAGCGATTGTAACAGTAATAGAAGTTGATGATTTTCTTATGAAGAATAAGACACAAAATTAAAAGAAGTACATGTACTAATAGGCAGCAGGGCAGAAGGCTCAGCCTTCAATTACTTTGATTTATGTCATCTCTTGATAGTAATCAGATTAAGCTTTGAGCCTGCAGGTGAGCATTAAATGATCAGTTTACAATACTGGGGGTCTTGGAGTAAAATTGGGTAGAACAATAGACCGTGAACACTTTGCAGCTTTTGACATTCGTGCTGCATATATTTCTCTATTTCAAAACAGGATACTACATGTGTTTTTTAGGACCCAGATCACTTTTCATTTTGAAAATATGATGCTCATATTTTTTCACATTTTAATGAGAAGACAAGCTGTTATAAATTTAGACAAAACTTGTAGATTAATTAAAGTCATTCCAATCATAGCAAAATCATGACCTATTAACATCAGAGCATTTTTTATTTTCTTAAGTCTTCAACTAGAAACATTCAGAATCCACAAAACTCAAAGTCAATTTTGGAGTTGTTTCACATTTTCCAAAGTAGCAGTAAATATTTCCTCCCTTCAAATTGACTAGTTTTACATATTAGTACATACAAGATAGGACAAAAATCTTAGAAAAGTCTATTTACTCCTAAGCAATATCTAGTTATCAGTTAAGGTCTACATTCAAAAAACGTTTGAACAAACACATTCTGGTCACATAATAAGTGAATTATAATCTTTATTTTAACTCAAGTTTATAATGTAATAGTCAACTCATTTCTTTTTATAAAGGTATTCTTCATATATCAAGGCTTTCACAGTTTCCAGAGCCATACAAATGTACACAGGTGTTTTATTTGGTGACATACAGTTTAGGCGAGCACTTCGTCAGAGGTCCTGAGTTCAAAAGACTTGTAATTTTTCCTATTATTTTTCACGAGCTAAAGCTATTTTCCCAGAACTACTTAGTTGTTCAACTACTCAGCCTCTCAATGCTCACAGCCTTGACTTTTTTCTCTTTTTTCATAACTCCAATAACTTAAAGTATTGCGCAAATGAGTAATTGTTAAGCCACATACATTTGATTCTAGCTATTAAAATGAATGACATACAGTCTCACTCTTATCTGACTAAAAAGCACTCTTTTCATCTTGCAAAGAGAAAATATCTTTGTGTTACTTGACAATTCGTATGAGAGCCCTGTTTTAATAGAAGCACAAGACACATCCTTCCAGGTGTACATGCCTTTTTTAGAAATGATCAAATATAGTCAGCTATTAAATAGAAAATCAGCTCAAAGTTTTACAACTGTGCCTTTTAACATAAATGGCTTGAGCCTTTTACCCTTGCTGTTTGCTGTTCCTGAAAGGAGTCTGTACTTTTCATGGCTGGGCTCCTCCGTGTTATTCATGTCATAGAGACACACACAGACACACACATGTACACACAAAAAAATTGCTTCTCAGGTCCTAATCTGACTACCAAGTTTATATTATATAATCTTTTTCTATTTTCTACAATCCATTGAAATTGTCTCACACTTGCATTTATTTGTTCATACTTTATTTTTTCTCTCTACTACTACTTCCCATCATAGGAACAAGGGCTTTAGTTGTTCTTGTTCACCACAAGTTTGCCAACCATCTTCCAGAGCACCAGGCACCTTAGAGACACTTAATATTTATTGAATAAATGTGAATAAGGCTATATTATCCAATTGTATGAGTTTCAGTTTCCTCAGCTGGAAAATGGTGGTAAAGAAAATGTCCTATCACATGATGGTTGTGAGGATTTAACAAGATATTACATCCAGGAAAAATGTTATTTGTCATTAATGATACATGTTGCAGAGTGAATGTTCAAGTGATTGTTCTCAGTGCACATGTAGAACTAGTTGCTCTCCACACAGTCATCGTTAAACACTGTCCAGGAACGTTGTTTTTGAACGTGGGGGGGTCTATAGACTACATATCAGAATCACCCTAGCTACTTTTCTCCATCTATGATTCAGTCTAAGAATGAAGAAAAGGAACTGTGTCTTTTTAAACAAGACCACTGGGCTACTTTATGTGCAGTAGAGTTTGAGAACCACTATCCTATATACCTTGATACCTGGACTAATGAATCTTCTAGGAATAGATTCTTTTGTAATACATTCAATCCTGTTAAATGGGAAAAAAACATCTCATCAATCATGAGCTTTGAGGTTTGTACCTATTCATGAAACTTCTCTTTGTTCCCACCCAGGTGACAGTAAATCTGTGTAACTATTTTTTTTTCACTGTACCTATTTATTTATTTATTTTATTATACTTTAATTTCTAGGGTACATGTGCACAATGTGCAGGTTTGCTACATATGTATACATATGCCATGTTGGTGTGCTGCACCCGTTAACTTGTCATTTACATTAGGCATATCTCCTAATGCTATCCCTCCCCCCGCCCCCACCCCACAACAGTTCCCAGTGTGTGGTGTTCCCCTTCCTATGTCCAAGTGTTCTCATTGTTCAATTCCCACCTATGAGTGAGAACATGCGGTGTTTGTTTTTTTGTCCTTGGGATAGTTTGCTGAGAATGATGGTTTCCAGCTTCATCCATATCCCTACAAAGGACATTAACTCATCTTTTTTATGGCTGCATAGTATTCCATGGTGTGTATGTGCCACATTTGCTTAATCCAGTCTATCGTTGATGGACATTCGGGTTGGTTCCAAGTCTTTGCTATTGTGAATAGTGCCGCAATAAACATACGTGTGCATGTGTCTTTATAGCAGCATGATTTATAATCCTTTGGGTATATACCCAGTAATGGGATGGCTGGGTCAAATGGCATTTCTAGTTCTGGATCCTTGAGGAATCGCCACACTGTCTCCCACAGTGGTTGAACTAGTTTACAGTCCCACCAACAAAAGAGTCCGCATTGCCAAGTCAATCCTAAGCCAAAAGAACAAAACTGGAGGCATCACGCTACCTGACTTCAAACTATACTACAAGGCTACAGTAACCAAAACAACTTGGTACTGGCACCAAAACAGAGATATAGACCAATGGAACAGAACAGAGTCCTCAGAAGTAATACCACACATCTACAGCCATCTGATCTTTGACAAACCTGACAAAAACAAGAAATGGGGAAAGGATTCCCTATTTAATAAATGGTGCTGGGAAAACTGGCTAGCCATATGTAGAAAGCTGAAACTGGATCCTTCCCTTACACCTTATACAAAAATTAATTCAAGATGGATTAAAGACTTAAATGTTAGACCTAAAACCATAAAAAAACCCTAGAAGAAAACCTAGGCAATATCATTCAGGACATAGGCATGGGCAAGGACTTCATGACTAAAACACCAAAAGCAACGGCAACAAAAGCCAAAATTGACAAATGGGAACTAATTAAACTAAAGAGCTTCTGCACAGCAAAAATCTGTGTAACTCTTTAAACGATGTTGAAATCTTTGAAAATTACTTATTTTGAAACTACCATTTCTGTAGCTTTTTCATTGCTTATTCTTGCCTTAAACAGCAAACTTTTTCTCTGTTCAAACCCAGAATGATTTCTACCTTCTTTAAGGCTTTCTCCATATTAAAATAGTAACAAACAAAACAAAACAAAAATTCTCCTGTTCGTCTTTACACTTGACATTTTTTATTATTCTTTAACAAAAATAAGCATAAGAGTTAACATAGAAACATTATGCCTTTTATCTTTAATAATAACATAAATAAATAAATAAGTTTTTTTTCCAAAGAAAAAGAACCACGGTCAAGAACATATTGACAGACAAATAATTTGTTATGTGGAGGATGGATGTGGAGCGATCTCATGCAATCAAATCAAGACTAATCCTTAGACAAATGAAATTTAACTTTTTTTAAGAGAATCTGGAAGACATTAGATTCTGTAAAAGAAAGAAATATATAGTTAAGAGTTAGAGGGCATGTAATATAAATGGTGATGGTCTCAAAAAGGAGAAACTATTTGTATTAAAGGCATCTGCATCATTTATTTCACAGCTAAACTTACTCTGTCACCTTACCCTGCCCAAAGAACATTTGTGCAAAATTTTGGAAATATATTTGTCTTTTTCCCTCCTTTTTAACAATATTTCAGTAATATATACACAACCCACCTAAATTTCACTTTCTAGAACACATCTCTAAGCCTTTTTTATTACCTATGATCATTCCCTTTCTTGGGGTGGGAATATCACTGAAATGCTGAAATTCGTGAGCCTTATTAATGGAGTTCCAACTAAAGATGAAGTCACCACACTGCGTAGTGTCTTCGCTACCACGTAGCAAGGCCCATCTAAGGTCTTTTGTGTTTTACTGGAGCTCAGTGACAATTTTATTTCTGAGAAAAAAATCAAGAAATAGTTATTATTAACATCAATTGTAATATATTAATATTACTCAGAGCTTATAATACATCAATAAATATAGCTAAATTTTACACTTAATAAGGACTGGGTATGCAAATACTATACAGCTTTGTGTCATATGCATCTTCTTGTATGTCTTACTTCTGGTGCATTTGATGCATAAAAATCATGTTTATTATTATGCATAAAATCATTATGTGATATATATTTTGAATTTTATACTTTTTAAAGTGCCCTATGTTAATAATTTATTAACCTTATTATTACAAACCCTGTTTAGTAACAAGAAAATGTAATTTTCTACCAAGAGCATAGATCTGGGACACTAATTTAGACTTGCAGTTCCAAATTCAGGTTTGTTGTTTTTTGTTTTTCTCATTTTACTCTGTCTCTAGTTGTTGGTTTGGTATTTCACTTAATTGGCAACATATGACTTGTTTTTGCTAATGTTTATTTTTTTGAAGAACATTTTCTTTTAATGTACAACTCTAATTATATAAGTTAAATAAGAGATATAAAGTACTGGTTTCCTTTTCTATATGATGAAAGAGCTATTTTTTTTTTCTTTTACCTATACTGCATGTATTTATAGTTTTAGTTTTTTTTAAAAAAAATTTGTTGCTCTTTCTCATTCCCTAAATTGAATATTATCATGGAAGATTGACCATAAACTATACATGAATGAAATCTCAATATCTTAGCAGGCTAATGAAACAATAACTTAATTTCCTCTGGAATAATTATTATATTACTTAACATGTTACTTAGAAACATATTCTCAGATTACACATATACTTATGCAATGTTTTTCTAAGTATTTCAAGTTGTATAACATAATTGTCAAACTATGTTAAATTGTCATTATGAGTTACATAATTGGGAATTATAATTTTTGCATAGAAATGTGAGACTATCATAACAGAAATTTAATTTAGGCTAAAACATTCATCTGTTTTCCCATAAGATAGACTCAATAAATATGTTATGTTTTTAATTTGTTTGTGGTAATCAACAACTAAGTTTGAGTAATAACAACAGAAATCAGTTTTTTTTAAAGACTAATGTTTTCAGTCTCAGCAATAGCATGGATATGTGAAGGTGATTTATGTAACAGCACTGCTTAGGTAATGTACAACCAGGAGTTACAAAGTAAACATGTTTCTCTGGCCACAGAAAAAAAAAACACAATCCATATTCACCTATGTTCTACTTAGGAGAGGTCTTTCCTGTTTTCTGCCTGGATTTCTCTCAGTTCTATGCTCTGGGATGGTAGATGGTTCTTCCAGTTTCAGAAATAGATTTCCCCATTAAGTTAAAGTTTGTTATATCTTTTGTTTTTATTTATGCTGTATGATATCATTAATTACAGATCATAAATTATATTGTTAGTTTTCCTCATTGATGCATGTATGTGTGTGTGTGTGTGTGTGTGTGTGTGTGTGTGTGTCTGTGTGTCTGTGTGTATGTTGGGAAGACATGCTGGAATACTCTGGTTTAACCTTGTTATCCTCGAGAAATCCAGAAGCCTTTTTCTCATTCTCCCTTGAGCCCAAACCAATCAGGCTTTTGGTATGATTACTTTGTTTTTATTATTTTTCAAAATATTATTTTGGATTTAGGGAGTACATGTAATGATTTGTTACACTGATATTACATGCATAATGGTGAGGATTGGGCTTCTAGTAGACCCATAACTAAAATATCTAACATTATACTCAATATGTAATTTGTCAACCCTCCCCCTCCCCCACCCTCTCCCTTTGTGGAGCCACCAATGTTCATTATCTTCATTTTATGTACATGCGTACTCCTTGTTTAGCTTCCACTTGTAAGTGAGAACATACGATATTTTATTTTCTGCTTCTGAGTTAGTTCATGTAGGATAATGGCCTCCAGCTCCATCCACGTTGCTGCAAAGAAAATGATTTTATTCACTTTTATGGCTGCATAGTATTCCATAGTGTATATATACAATATTTTCTTTAGACAGTCAGCCTTTTGTGGATACTAAGTTGATTCCATGAGAAATTTGCAATTGTGAATAATGCTGTGATAAACATATGAATGCAGGTATCTTAAATATAATGATTTCCTTTCCTTTAGGTAGATATCCAGTAGTGGGATTGCTGGGTCAAATGGTAGTTCTATTTTTACTTCTTTGAGATATCTCTATACTGTTTTCCATAGAGGTTGAACTAATTTACACATCCACCAACTTGTATAAGCATGTCCTTTTCTCTGCTTTCACACCAACACCTGCTGTTTTTTAACTTTCTATTAAAAGCCATCTGGGCTGGTTGCAGTGGCTGAAACCTGTAATCCCAACACTTTGGGAGGTCAAGGCAGGAGAATCCTTGAGCCCTGGAGCTCGAGACCAGCCTGGAGAACACAGTGAGAATCTGCTTCTACAAAAGAAAAATATACAAAATTAGCTGGGCATGGTTGTACACACCTGTAGTTCTAGCTACTTGAGAGGCTTAGGTGGGAGGATCACTTGAACCTGGGAGGCTGCAGTGAGCCATGATCATCCCATTGCACTCCAGCATGGGCAACAGAGTTATACCCTGTCTCAATAATACATATAATAATAAAATAGTCATCCTGTCTGGTATAAAATGATATCTCCTTGTGATTTTAATTTTCATTTCTCTGATGATTAGTGATGTTGAGCATTTTTATCATATATTTGTTGGCCATTTGTATTTCTTCTTTTGAGAAATGTCTGTTTATGTCTTTTGCCCAGTTTTTAATGGGGTTGTTTGTTTTTTCTTTTTTTCCTTTTTTCAATCATACTTTAAGTTTTAGGGTACATGTGCACAACATGCAGGTTTGTTACATATGTATACATGTGCCATGTTGGTGTGCTGCACCCATTAACTTGTCATTTAACATTAAGTGTATCTCCTAACACTATCCCTCCCGCCTCCCCCCACCCCACAACAGGCTCCAGTGTGTGATGTTCCCCTTTCTGTGTCCATGTGTTCTCATTGTTCAATTCCCACCTGTGAGCGAGAACATGCGGTGTTTGTTTTTTTGTCCTTGGGATAGTTTGCTGAGAATGATGGTTTCCAGCTTCATCCATATCCCTACAAAGGACATTAACTCATCCTTTTTTATGACTGCATAGTATTCCATGGTGTATATGTGCCACATTTTCTTAATCCAGTCTATCGTTGTATATTTGGCTTGGTTCCAAGTCTTTGCTACTGTGAATAGTGCTGCAATAAACATACGTGTGCATGTGTCTTTATAGCAGCATGATTTATAATCCTTTGGGTATATACCCAGTAATGGGATTGCTGGGTCAAATGGTATTTCTAGTTCTAGATCCCTGAGGAATCACCACACTGACTTCCACAATGGTTGAACTAGTTTTTAGTCCCACCAACAGTATAAAAGTGTTCCTATTTCTCCACATCCTCTCCAGCACCTGTTGTTACCTGACTTTTTAATGATCGCCATTCTGACTGGTGTATCATGGTATCTCATTGTGTTTTTGATTTGCATTTCTCTGATGGCCAGTGATGATGAGCATTTTCTCATGTGTCTTTTGGCTGCATAAATGTCTTCATTTGAGAAGTGTCTGTTCATATCCTTTGCCCGCTTGTTGATGAGGTTGTTTGCTTTTTTCTCGTAAATTTGTTTGAGTTCATTGTAGATTCTGGATATTAGCCCTTTGTCAGATGAGTAGATTGCAAACATTTTCTCCCATTCTGTAGGTTGCCTGTTCACTCTGATGGTAGTTTCTTTTGCTGTGCAGAAGCTCTTTAGTTTAATTAGTTCCCATTTGTCAATTTTGGCTTTTGTTGCCATTGCTTTTGGTGTTTTAGACATGAAGTACTTGCCCATGCCTATGTCCTGAATGGTATTGCCTAGGTTTTCTTCTAGGGTTTTTATGGTTTTAGGTATAACATTTAAGTCTTTAATTCATCTTGAATTAATTTTTGTATAAGGTGTAAGGGAAGGATCCAGTTTCATCTTTCTACATATGGCTAGCCAGTTTTCCCAGCACCATTTATTAAAAAGGGAATCCTTTCCCCATTTCTTGTTTTTGTCAGGTTTCTCAATGATCAGATAGTTGTAGATATGTGGCATTATTTCTGAGGGCTCTGTTCTGTTCCATTGGTCTATATCTCTGTTTTGGTACCAGTATCATGCTGTTTTGGTTACTGTAGCCTTGTAGTATGGTTTGAAGTCAGGTAGCGTGATGCCTCCAGCTTTGTTCTTTTGGCTTAGGATTGACTTGGCAATGTGGGCTCTTTTTGGTTCCATATGAACTTTAAAGTAGTTTTTTCCAATTCTGTGAAGAAAGGCATTGGTAGCTTGATGGGGATGGCATTGAATCTATAAATTACCTTAGGCAGTATGGCCATTTTCACGATATTGATTCTTCCTACCCATGAGCATGGAATGTTCTTCCATTTGTTTGTATCCTCTTTTATTTCCTTGAGCAGTGGTTTGTAGTTCTCCTTGAAGAGGTCCTTCACATCCCTTGTAAGTTGGATTCCTAGGTATTTTATTCTCTTTGAAGCAATTGTGAATGGGAGTTCACTCATGATTTGGCTGTCTGTTTGTCTGTTATTGGTGTATAAGAATGCTTGTGATTTTTGCACATTGATTTTGTATCCTGAGACTTTGCTGAAGTTGATTATCAGCTTAAGGAGATTTTGGGCTGAGATGATGGGGTTTTCTAGATATACAATCATGTCATCTGCAAACAGGGACAATTTGACTTCCTCTTTTCCTAATTGAATACCTTTTATTTCCTTCTCCTGCCTGATTGCCCTGGCCAGAACTTCCAACACTATGTTGAATAGGAGTGGTGAGAGAGGGCATCCCTGTCTTGTGCCAGTTTTCAAAGGGAATGCTTCCAGTTTTTTCCCATTCAGTATGATATTGGCTGTGGGTTTGTCATAGATAGCTCTTATTATTTTGAGATACGTCCCATCAATATATAATTTATTGAGAGTTTTTAGCATGAAGTGTTGTTGAATTTTGTCAAAGGCCTTTTCTGCATCTATTGAGATAATCATGTGGTTTTTGTAGTTGGTTCTGTTTATATGCTGGATTATTGGGTTCCCTGTAGATTATGGATATTAATCCTTTTCTGGAGGCATAGTTTGCAAATATTTTCTCCCATTCTGTGGGTTGTCTGTTTATACTGTTGATTCTTTTGCTGTGCAGAAGCTTTTTCAATTAATTAAGTCCCATTAACTTATTTTTGTTTTTGTTGCAATTGCTTTTGAGGTCATCATAAAGTGGCATAGGCCAATGACCAATATAGTCTTCCCTAGGTTTTAGTCTAGGATTTTCATCCTCAGACAAATGAAATTTCACATTTTCCTTTTAGGTCTTTAATCCTTCTTGAGTTAATTTTCATATAGTGAGAGACAGGGGTCCAATTTCATTCTGTTACAAATGGTTACTCAGTATTCCCAGAACTATTTCTTGATTAGGGTATTCTTTCTTTGTTGTTTATTTTCAGTTACTTTATAAAAGATCAGGTTGGTTGTAGGTATGTGTTTTTATTTCTGAGTTCTATATTCAGTTTTATTTATGTATGTGTCCATTTTTGTACGAGTACCATCCTATTAGCCTTTTCTTGTGTTGCTACAAATAAATACCTGAGACTGCCTAATTTATAAAGTAATGTGGTTTATTTTGGGTCAGAGTTCTGCAGGCCATAAAGGAAGCATGGTACTGGCATCTGCTTCTTCTGAGTGTGTCAGGAAGCCTATAATCATAGTGAAAAGTGAAGAGGGGCAGGTGTATAACATGGGAAGGGAAGGAGCAAAAGAAATGCCTGTGTCTTTAAAAATAAAAATAAAAACAAAATCAGCTTTCACATGAACTCATGGTGAGAACTCACTTCCCACTAGGTCCTACTACCAACATTCTGGATCACATTTCAACATGAGATTTGGAAAGAACACACATCCAAACCATATCAACCATGCTGTTTTAGTTACTATATTCTTGTAATAACTTGGAGTCTTGCATATGATACTATAGCCTTGTATAATTTCAAGTCAGGGAGTGTGATATCCCTGGATTTGTTCTTTTCGTTTCAGAGTGCTATGACTATTCAAGCTCTTTTTATTTCTCCAGATAAAGTTTGGGATTGTTTTTTCTAATTCTGTGAAAAAATAGCATTGGTTATTTGATAAAAATTGTATTGAGTCTCTAGATTGCTTTCAGTAATATGATCATTTTAATGATATTGATTCTTCCTATCAATCAGCACAGTATGTTCCTCCATTTGTTTGTATCTTCTACAGTTTATTTCATCAGTGTTTTGTAGCTTTCTATGTAGAGATCTTTTACTTCCTTTGTTAAATGTATTCCTAGGTATTCTATTACTTGTGGCTATTGTAAATGGGATTTAGTTCTTAATTTGTTACTCAGCTTAAACATTATTGGTGTATAGAAACGCTACTGATTTTTACGCATAGGTTTAGTATCTTGGAACTTCATGGAAGTCATTTGTCAATCTAGGAGTTTTCTGGAGGAGTCTTTCGGGTTTTCTACATATATGATCATGTCAGCAGTGAACAGAGATAATTTGATTTCCTATTTTCCAGTTTGGATGTCTTTTATTTCTTTTTACCTGGTTTCTCTGGTTAGTACTTCTAGTACTATGTTGAATGGGAATGATGAGAATGGATATCCTTATCTTGTTCCAGATATTAGGGAAAACACTTTCAACTTTTTCTCATTCATTATGACATTGGCTGTGGGTTTGTCATATATGGCTCTTATCATTTTGAGATATGTTTCTGTGTTGACTAATTTGTTGAGGGTTTTTATCATGAAGGAATGTTAGATTTCATAGAAAGCTTTATCTACATCTGTTGAGATGAGAATATGGCTTTTGTTTTTAGTTATCTTTATTTGGTGAATTATGTTTATTAATTTGCATATGTTGACCCATCCTTGCATCCCTGGAATAAAGCCTACTTGATTGTGATAAATTATCTTTTCGATGTACTGTTGGGTTAAGTCTGCTAGTATTTTGTTGAGTGTTTTTCATCCATGCTCATCAGGAATATTGGACTGTAGATTGTGTGTGTGTGTGTGTGTGTGTGTGTGTGTCTTTGTTTAATTTTAGTATCAAGGTAACAATGGATTCATAGAATGAGTTACAGAAAGATCTCTCCTCCTCAATTTTTTTGGAATAGTTTCAGTAAGATTTCTATCAGCTTTTCATTGTGTGTCTGGTAAAATTTGGCTGTAAATTTGTCTGGTCCTGAGTTTTTTTGTTGGAAGATTTTGTATTACTAATTCAATTTTGTTACTCATTATTAGTCTGTTCAGGATTTCTATTTTCTCCTAGTTCAATCTTGGGGGGTTTCATTAATATGTTCCCAGGAATTTATCCATTTCCTCTAGGTTTTCTAGTTTATGCATATAGATATGTTCATAATGGATTCTGATGATCTTTTGCATTTCTATGGTATGGTATGATATGCTATGGTATGGTATGGTATGGTATGGTATGGTATGGTATGGTATGGTATGTGGTATGGTATCAGTTGTAATATCATCTTTATCATTTCTGATTGTGCTTATTTGAATCTTCTCTCTTTTTTTTCTTGGTTAGTCTGGGTAGTAGTCTTTCAATTTTGTTCATCCTTTCAAAGAACCAACTTTTCATTTCATTCATCCTTTGTATCTTTTTTTAATCTCAATCTCATTTAGTTCTGCTCTGATCTTTGTTCTGACCACTTTAGAAATATTCTCTTGTCAATAATACCTATCACTTTCAAATTTCCACATCCAGTGAAAACTTCTAACCATGAATTCTGTACAGGGTAAAACTATCTTTTAGGAATTAAGGAAAAATATAGGAATTCTCAGGTAAAGGAAAACTAATTATTTGAAGAAAACCTCTTAACATTGGCTAAGGAAAATTTTTCAAATAGAAAGCAAATGATAAAATAAGGAATCTTGGACTATCAAATAGAAACAATGGAAAGAAGAATAAAAAGAATAGAAATATGGTACATGAAATAGACTATCTTGTTCTCCATGGGTTTTGTTCATCATATTCAATGACAGAAGCAAAAGTTTACCACCATCTAATAAGCAAGATAATATTGTATAAATGTAAGGCAAAAAGGAAAATCAAATGGATGCTATAAGTCATGTTTGTAAATTATACATAAGCCATGTAACACCTCACATCACCACATTAAAAATTCTACAAAGAGGTACACTCAAACCACTGTAAATAAATAAAAAAATCCTAAAAATATTCAAATAAACTGCAGGAAGACAAAACAAATAAAACAGAGAGATGGGAATCAGAGGAAATAGAAAACCCATAATAAGGTGGCAGAATTAGACATTAACATAACAATAATCACCTTAAATGTAAATGGTATGAGTACATCAATCAGAAAACAGAAATTCAAAGGGTGGATTTTAAACAAAATCAAAAATGTATTTTGCTTACAAGAAACTCACTTCAAACTCAACGATAAAGGTAGATTGAAAGTAAAAGAATAAAAAAGATATATACATACAATCAATAAAATGTATTGGAGTGGCTACATTAATATCTAATAGACATTATAGCATTACCAGAAGGAGAAAAAAAAAAGTCAAAATGAGAAACTAGTTGAAACTATAATGAACAAAAATTTCCTAAATAAACAAAAATGATTAAAAATATTTGTTTGGAATATTTCATAGAGTATCAAGGAGGACGGATGATGAAAATTCACACCTGGATGTGTTATAAAATTTAAAATCATGAACCAAAATAATATAATAATATTCTGTGTATCTCTGTGTTGTCATAGAATTTTAGAAAAATAAAACAAGGAGATAGTTGTAAAATCTTAAGGAGAAGAAAAACTGATCACCTAAAAATAAACAACAGTCAAATTATAATCAGATTTTCCTCTAGGACTCTAATTGCAAGCAGGCAATGGAGTAATATTTTATAAGGGTTGAAATAAAACTACTGTGTCCTGGGCTCAGGGTAAACAGCAGCTACATTGCTTGTTGCTTGCTAAATCTCAGAGGCATAAGGGTAGCAGGTGCTTGTTTTTCTTATTTCCTAATAACTTGTGGATAACTTCCTAATAACTTGATCCAAAGCTGAACTGAATGCACTAGATATCACCTTCTGTTATTATGCCTTTTTATGGCATAGATGCTTGACATGAGATGACAGTAATTTAAGGCAACAACTGGGAAAAGGGTTTCTCAATCTTTGCAGAGTTGCTGTGGAAAGAAGGCCATGAATCCCAAGGGAAATTGGGATTGAGTACAACTTCTACCCCTGTGGTGAAGGCACAGCCCAGGTACAAAGCCAGCTTCTGGCCAGGCAACATCAAAGATATCAGATAAGAAAGCTTGCTTGTTTCCACAAATATTATACACAACAGAACTGCCACTTGAAGGTAAAAGTGAAATATTAAACATTTCTGGGAAGCAATCTTATAGTATTTAGCAGAATTAAATATTTAAATTTTTGTATTCTCATTAATCCACCAATACCATGCATTTCATATATATATCATAATTTGCCATAAACTGAGGTGTTTGAAAAAGTTGTTATGTGAAAACATCAGAACACCCTAATCAATCAATTAAAACATTTGAATTTCTTTTAAATTAAGTAATAATTTCAATGTAGTTATTTTCAATTTCCAAATAAAACAAATTGCTATGGCCAAAATTTTACATTGCGGCTTTCTTATGAATTTAATCATCAACAAGGGAAGGTTTTTGTGTAAAAAACTACATTCAAATTAACAGTAATCATGCTTCATTTGATCAAACATTGGAAAATTTTCTGAAAGGTTATGTTGAAATGGGACTGCTGATCTTGCTAATTATGTTTTCTCTAAATTTATTAGTTTCATAAACATTGCCTAAATAATGTTAATCTTGTACCTGTTAAATTATACTTCTAATATTATTCAGATTAGTCTACCTCCTCTTTACTTTCTCACCTAATTATTAAGAAAATATGAGCATATAAAGAAGGGAGATGGTGTAATGAAATAAAAATATCTTCTGAATTAGTAATACTTGGCTAAGGGTCCAGTATGTGTAATGTGTAATTTTGAATGTGTTTTACCAGTTATCTCATGTCTGAAATGGGGATCATATGTAATTCAGAGAGTGATTACAAGGATTAACCAGAATAGGAGTCAACATACCTAATACAGTACACAGCTAGCAAAGGACTCCTCTACTCTCCTCACAAATAGCATCATGATGCCAAGACAGTTACACATGATTCAGATTCATTTTTTGACATGAGTGTTAAAAAATGAAACTTTTTAAACAAACACTGTGAATTTGTATTAAAAATTATTAAGCTAAAATATTTGTTTTATAAATTGTATTATCAATTGATGGCTTAGTAAATTTTTGTTTTCCATGTAAACAGTACATAAATCTGTTTCATGAAATACAAGTCAGATAGATAGCTTTGGTTTTCTAATTTTGATTAATTTTCTTTTTTATGTTTTTTCCCCTTTTTTCCTTCCTTCCTCTTCTTCTTCCTTCTTTGTCCCCTTCTTTCTTCTGTTTTCTCTCATTTTTTCAGAAATATAAAGTAAGCCTGAAAATTCCCTTAATAACTATCTCTAAAATGTAAAACTTATAAGAAATTTGGGATTAACATTTATTATTTGCTGAGTTTTTTATGTGTCAAAATGTAGCAATCCTTGGTTATAGCAATGCTTAACTTTTGTACCACCTCTTACTAAGAGTTTCAAAATCCCTTTCATATATATTATCTCATTTATTTTATGATAATCCTATTTTCCTCCATGTGACAAATAAAGAAAATAAGCTTCAAAGATGTACAAAATAGTTTTTCAAAAGTTTTTAAATCAATTTTTCATACACTAGAAGCAAAGCTAAACTTAAGTCTTTGAATTATAATTTCACTACTTGTCAGAAATATTTCCTAGATATTATTTGATATTATTGAATTAATGATTTATTATATATTATTGCTATTATTTAATTTTCCTGTTTGAATACTTTTATACATTCTTTAAATTGTTTTAGAGTGCTGTATTTTATTTATTTTAGGCAGATATAAAAATGTATCAAATTTTATATCTTGCTATTATTTGCAATATCATTAAAACTTTAATATGGCATCTGATTTTCTAAAGTGGTCATTTTATTTTCCTTACAATGTTATTAAATAATAGATTCTTTAGTTGCATTACAGTATTATGTAGGAAACCTTTGATGCTTGGAACAATTAGCCCATAATATGCAATGCATAGAAAGCATAAGACAACCAACCCATGAACATAAATAGAAACTGTGTATTATAAAGTACATTATCTATAATAAGAAAATTGACCATAAAACTACTAACACATCATTAATATCTGTTATTAAAGCATAGCATCAATATTTTGAAAACTACTAGCTTAAAATAGGTATAAATTCAATGTGAATTATTTATATGAATTATTAGTTCCACTCCAAACTTTTAAAGGGAAACGTACAATTTTCAATCTTCTATTTAAAATAACTTCTGAAAGAGTAAAATTAGATGTTGTTTAAATTTCTTGGTAAGACATTAGGCATCTAAATTTTGGAAAACTTGTAGAATATAAATGCAAATTAAAGAAAGCATTCTAAATGTAAGTATTTGTTGAGATTTAGGAAGTTTAGATCACTTATACTACTAATCAGTCTATTGTTAGCATGAAACACAGTACACAACATCACTCTCAGGATTTCCCCTATTTTGTGAATCCTCAAGACAAGTTATACTTTAAGGAGAAATTCAATATTATTGGGCTTTCACTTTTGAAAGTTATATAAAAAGATAAATATCTCATTTCTTATTCATATCACTTCATTATTTTTCTTTATGAATTTTACGATTGATAGAATGTAAGAGCAGTGAATAGTTAGAGAAAAAGAGGATCAAAATGAATTTGCATTTAATAAGACAAAACAGCATTGACCAGTTTTAACTTTACTAGTAATTTATTTTAAAATCAGTTATTATCATTTTGTACTTACATGCTGAAGGCAATTTTGGATGAGATATTTTGAAGATTTTACTATGTTTAAGTAACCATAAGCTAATCTAAATTAGTAGATATTTAATCATGGAAAGAATATACTAACATAAAAGGTTCTGGAAGACTGAGAGCTGAATGCAGTTTCTTCCCTTTTACTCTGAACTTCACAATTCCTCTATCTAGGACTCTATGGGGGTTCCATGGTATCGTGGATTGGACTAAAGCTCTCAAGCAGTATTAAAGTGCATCTTATCTTGGAAAAAGCTGAATTCTCTGAAATAATTTGATTCATACATGAAATATTAACACAATGAGGATGTGAATAAGTCGCCTGGGTCCTTCCCAAACCTGAAACCTTATGAGTAAGGAGACCCAGGTATATACTTCTCCTGGTGTGCCAGTTGGTGAATGGCAGCCTGTCTAATACTGTATCCCCATGCTTGCAGAGGTGGAAAATGCTTTTTATGTCATATGCACACAGTTTAGGTGGTGCTGCATCAACTGGACCAGAAGCCCAAAAAATAATTTTAAAAAATATAATAACAAAGATTTCAAGTAGCAAGACAAGAAGAGCACTTAAAGCAAAAATAACACAGACCAAGGAAAACAGCTGTTGGTGCTGACAAGTATCTACCAGAATAACAACAATAAAAAGCAAGTTATTATATTCAAGTGCAGTATACACATGGAAAACATTTATTTTAGAGCTAGAATGTATAAAAAATATAACTTCCCAAATGAACAATTTAGTAAATGAATTGAAGACATAATCACCGTTGAGATCAGAATTTGGCCTAAAATATCAAGTGAAACTTTCAAAGCACAGAAGAAAAAATAATTTGATAAGTCAGGGACAAATAACACAATAGGAAAATATGGAAATGATATTGAAGAAGCAATTCACAGAGGAAAAAACCCAAATGGTTAATAAGCATAAGGAAAGACACTCTAATTAGCAGTCAAAAATGCAAATTAAGATAACATTGAACATATTTCATACCCGTAAGACAGGATATTTTAAACATGGAGATGATACTTAATACAGACGAAGAATCAGAGAAAATGTATCATACATAACTATTGGTAATGTAAATGGCTATAGCAATTTTAAAAACAAAGTATTACTTCTATTAAGAAAATAAAAACATATATTGAACTCTGAGCCATCATTTCCACTTCTGAAAATCTGTTTCATAGGAATTGCTATGAGTTGAATGTCCCCACCAAACTCATGTTGAAATGTAATTGGCAATGTAATCATATTTGAAGATGGAGCCTTCCAGAGGTGATTAGGTCATTGTGGCTCTACTCTCATGAATGGATTAATGCCCTTAGCACAGTGTCCCTCATGCTTGCTGCTACCTTCTACTCTTCCACCATGGGATGATCCTTGCCCAACACCAGTGCCATGCTCTTGACTTCCCAGCCTCCAGACCCATAAGCCAAATCAACTTCTGTCCTGTATAAATTACCCAGTGTGTTGTATTCTGTTATAGCAGCAGAAAACAAAGAAAAAATGACTTTTAAAATATGTATACTTATAAAATACTTTGTTGAATTTAAAAAATATATTTTCTTTGGGAGGCCGAGGCAGGCGGATCACGAAGTCAGGAGATGGAGACCATCCTGGCTAACACGGTAAAGCCCCGTGTCTACTAAAAATACAAAAAATTAGCCAGCCGTGGTGGCAGGCACCTGTAGTCCCAGCTACTGAGGAGACTGAGGCAGGAGAATGGCATGAACTTGGGAGGTGGAGCTTGCAGTGAGCCGAGACTGCCCCACTGTACTCCAGCCTGGGCGACAGGGCTAGACTCTGTCTCAAAATATATATATATATATTTTTTGAGGGTTTTTTTTTTTTAGTGCTTACTCCTGGAATTAAAATATACATCCTTTCAGAATCTACTGGAGATTGATACTGACTTAAATCTATAACTACACCTTTCCCTTTTTGTGCTACTAAAGTATTAAAGCATTATTGTCACCTACACTTCATACAGTGTTATATGCTTTTTATGAGTATATAAAACATATACTATTTATTGTTTATATATAGTACATAACCCTTTATTATTTTATATAATGATTATTTCATACTCACTTATATTTTCGAAGAATTTAAGAGAAGAAAGCAAAAAAAAAAAAAACCCATGTATTTACATGGTCTTCCATATACATTGCATGTTTATTGCTTCCAGTCATTTTCATTTTTTCCTGTGGATTTAACTTATAGTATGGCATCATTTCCTTGCTCCATTATAATTCCATGTCTTCCCTCGCATTTGCCATATTGCATAAAATATTATTATATGATTATAAGGCCTACAATACAATTTTAAATTATAATTTTATGTGATGGTTTTTAAGTCACTTAAGTAAGGAGAAGAAATAAGTTAGTATTTTTTAATGTTTATTTTTAATTTTGTGGGTACATAATAGGTATATAAATTTATGGGGTATGTGAGATGTTTTGATACAGACATGCAATGCATAATAATCACATCATGGATAATGGGGTATCCATCCCCCAAGCATTTTTCCTTTGTGTTACAAACAATCCAGTTATAATCTTAGTTATTTTAAAATGTACAATTAAATTGTTATTGATGATAGCTGCTATGCTTTCAAATAGTAGGTCTTATTCCTTCTTTCTAACTATGATTTTTGGAAACATTAACCCTCTTGCATCCCTCCCCTACTCCTTCTTCAACTACCCTTTCCAGCCCCTGGTAACCATCCTGCTACTGTCTGTCTCCAAGAGTTCAGTTATTTTGATTTTTAGATTCCCCAAATAAGTGAGACCATGAATGTTTGTCTTTTTGTTCCTGGCTTATTTTCCTTAACCTAATGGTCTTCAGTGTCACTCATGTTGCTGCAAATGACAGAATCTCATTCTTGTTTTATGGCCAAAAATTACTTAATTGGGTATATCTACAATATTTTCTTTCTTTATTTATTTGTTAATAAACACTTAGGTTGCTTCCAAATCTTTACTATTGTGAACAGTGTTGCAACAAACTTGGGATTGCAGATATCCCTTTCATATACTGATTTCCTTTCTTTTGGGCATATACCAAGCAGTGGTATTGCTGAATCATATGGTAGCACTATTTTTAGTTTTAGGAGGAACCTTTAAACTATTCTTTATAGTGGTTGTACTAATTTACATTCTCACCAAAAGTAAACGAGGGTTTCCTTTCTCCACATCCTCACCAGCATTTATTATTGCTATAAGCTATAAGCCATTTTCACTGGGGTGAGATAATATATCATTGTAGTTTCGATTTGCATTTCTCTGATGATCAGTGATCCCAAGCACCTTTGCATATTCTTCTTTGCCGTTTGTATGTCTTCTTTTGAAAAATGTCTATTTGGATCTTTTGCCCATTTTTTGAATGAGTTATTAGATTTTTTCATATAGAGTCATTTAAGCTCCTTATAAATCCTGGTTATTAATCCCTTGTCATATGAGTAATTTGCAGATATTTTCTCCCATTCTGTAAATTTTCTCTTCACTTTGTTGATTGTGTCCTTCACTGTATAGAAGTTTTTTAACTTGATATGATGTAATCTGCCCATTTTGCCTTGCTTCCCTGAGCTTCAGAAACATTACTCAAGAAATGTTTGCCCACACCAATATCCTGGAGAATTTCCCCAATGTATTTTTGGAATTTCATAGTTTGAGGTGTTAGATTTAAGTTTTTGACCATTTTGATTTCACTTTTATATATAACAAGAGATAGGGGGTCTAGTTTAATTCTTCTGCATATGGATATCCAGTTTGCCCAGCACCATTTATTGAATACACTGTCTTCCCATGTATGTTCTTGGCATTTTTTGTGAAAAATTAGTTCACAGTAAGTGTGTGGATTTGCTTCTGGGCCTCTGTTCTGTTCTTTTGGTGTACATGCCTGTTTTTTTGCCAGTACCATGCTGATTTGGTTATAATAGCTCTGTAGTATAATTTTAAGCCAGGTAATGTGATTCCTTCAGTTTTGTTATTTTTGCTTAGGATAGCTTTGGCTATTCTGGGTCTTTTGTGGTTCCATATAAATTTTAGGACATTTTTTTTTCTATTTCCGTGAAGAATGTCATTGGTATTTTGATAGGGATTGCATTAAATCCGTAGATTGCTTTGGGAAGTATGGACTTTTTTACAATGTTGATTCTTCCTATTCGTGAACATGGAATCTTTTTCCATTTCTTGATGTCCTATTCAATTACTTTCATTAGTGTTTTATAGTTTCTAATTATAGAACTCTTTCACTTCTTTGTTTAAGTTAATTCTTACATATTCAATTTTATTTGTGGCTATTCTTAAGGGGATTTTTTTAAATTTCTTTTTTAGATTGTTCACTATTGGTACATAGAAATGTTACTAATTTTTGTAGGTTTATTTTGTGTTCTGAAACTTTACTGAACTTGTTTATCATAGAATTGATAAACAATTCTAATAGTATTTTTGGTGGAGTGTTTAGGTTTTTCCAAATATAAGAGTATATAGTAAACAAACAAGGATAATTTTGTCACAGGATCCTTAGGGTGTTGCTTTGCTAGCTGGACACCTCTGTGGCTGGTGGTGCCTTCTGTCCGAATATTGCTCACGCCCACTGGGCTTCTTCCACCCACTCAGCCTGGCAGGTTATGCTCAGCCCACACTACCAGCTTGGAACCCATGCCTGCCAAAGGCAAGCCTGGTGCAGAGCAGTGAGCAGTGTGTAAGCAAGTGAATGTGGGGTGCAGCCACTACACACAGCCAGGCACTTTGGCTGCTGTGGTGGGGCAGAGAGCTCCATGTGCTGGCTCTGTGCAAGGTTGCGGCTGGACCAGACATATCACAAGTGGCTTCTGCTGTGGGCACCAGTGTCTGGATAAGGGGAGCGCAGTGGCACTCAAAAGCTCGAAGACACCAGAAACCGTGAAGCCCAAAGAGGGTGTTGCCGCCCTGGCTCAGGGAACCCCTATGTCTGGGCTCCCCACAGGGTTGCAGCTCTTCTCTCCTTCTCATTGCCCACAGTGTGATGAGTGGGGAGGCATGTTTCTGCCCTGTTTGTGCTAGAACTCTTTCAGTCCTACTATTCAGTGGGTACCCAGTTCTTGTCCCATGTCCTGGAAGATTCCACCCAGAACTGACAGCCGAGCCCATATACTTTAGGCCATCCTTGGCTTGAAGGTGGGGCTTCACTGGAGACTTGTCCCTTTCTGTCCAGGAGCTTGTCTTCCTCCTGCTGCCATCAATCGTGTTGTCCATGATGCCCAGGCTGCTCATGAAGAGGGGTGCCTTTTGGCCTACACTGAGCTGCCATCAGCACTCCCCTTCGTCTCCCTCCCATGCTCGTTGGTGTCCAAAGCCCAAAGGGGGCCAAGGTGGCAGGGGGCTGGCATGCCAGCACCACCCTGAGCACCCACAAACCTGGCCAGATTAGGACAGTGCCGGGGATTGGCCTCAACTTTGCTCCGAAATCAGAGTGAGTGCTGGGAGCAGGGAGAGGCCAGGCAGTGAGAGCAGGTACTTCTGAACCTGGAGGAGCAAGAGGGCAGCTTCCTGGGCTCCCAAGAGTGCAGGGATGCCCGGGTTTGCAGCTTCAGCTGGGTGGCTGCAGCTGCACCCAGCTGGGTGGGGCTCCTGCCCCACAACTCAGAAGGAGGTAGAACTCTCACCCAAGCAGCTCTGAAGGGTTCTGGGTTCCTGCCTGTTCTTGGCTCCTGCTGACTCCATGGAGCATGCAGCCCTGGCTGTGCCTCCCCTGCTGCCACTGGCATCTTGACAGTGGTCGTTCCAGATGGGATGCTGCTGCCATCACTTTTACTTCTTCCTTTCCAATTTGGATGCCTTTTATTTATCTCTCTTGTCTGTTTGCTCTGGCTAGGAATTCCAGTACGATATTGAATAACAATGCTGACATTAGGCATCTTTGTTTTGTTCCAGATATTAGAGAAAAGACTTTCAGTTTTTCTCTATTCAGCATGATACTAGGTGTGGGTCTGTCGTATATGGCTTTTATTATATTCCTTCTATACCCAGTTTATTGATGATTTTGTCATGAAAGGGTGTTGAACTTTATCAAATACTTTTTCAGCATCAGTTGAAATGATCATATAGTTTGTGTTCTTTATTCTGTTGATATGACGTATCATGTTAATTGATTTGTGTATATCGAACTATCCTTGCAAACCAGGATAAAACCCACTTGGTCATGATAAATAATTTTTGTAATGTATTGTTGAATTTTCTTTCTAGTATTTTGTTCAGAATTTTTGCATTAATTTTCATCAGGGATATTAACCTATAGTTTGTCTTCTGGTTTTGGTATCACAGTAATACTGGTCTTGAAGAATGAGTTTGGAAATATTCCCTACTCTATACATTTTGAACAGTTTGAGTAGGATTGATATTATTTTTTCTTTGAATGTTTGGCAGAATTCAGCAGTGAAGACATTGGGTCCTGGGCTTTTCTTTACAGGGACACTTTTTATTACAGTTTTCATCTCATTACTTGTTATTGGTCTGTTCAGGTTTTGGATTTCCTCCTGGTTCAATTTTGGTAGATTGTATGTGTCTAGGAATTTGTCCATTTCTTCTATGTTTTCCAGTGTATTGGCATATAGTTGTTCATAGTAGCTACTAATGATCCTTTGAATTTCTACAGTCTCAGTTCTAATGTCTCCTTTTTCTTCTCTTATTTTGTTTATTTGATCTTCTCTCTCTCTTATTTTCCTTGTTTTCCTGGCTAAAGTTTTGTCAATTTTGTTTAACTTTTCAAAAAACTAATTTTTTAAAATTGATGTTTTGTATTATTTTCTTCATTTCAATTTTGTTTATTTATGCTTTGATCCTTATTATTTCTTTTCTTCTACTAATTTTTAGTTTGGTTTGCTCTGTTTTTCTAGTTCTTAAAGATGCATCATTAGATTGTTTATTTGAAGTTGTTATTCTTTTTTGATGTAAGCACTTATATAGCTATAAATTTTCCTCTTAGTATTGCTTTTGCTGTATCTGATAGGTTTTGGTGTGTTGTCTTTCCACTATCATTTGTTTCAATAATTTTTAAATATTTTTTAATTTTTTTCATTGACCCACTTATCATTCAGGAGCATATTGTTTAATTTCCATGTACCTGTACAGATTCCAGAATTCCTCTTGTTATTGATTTCTAGTTTTATTTGATTGTGGTCAGAGAAGATTCTTGATGTTATTCCAAAGTTTTGAATGTTTTAAGACTTGTTTTTGATGTAACATATGATCTATCCTTGAGAATGACCCATGCGCTGAGGAGAAGAATGTGTACTCTGCTGCCATTGGAGAAAACGTCCTATAAATATCTTTTAGATCCATTTGGTCTGTAGTGCAGACTAAGTCCAATGTTTCTTTGTTGAGATTCTGTCTGAAAGATGTGTCCAGTGTTGAAAGTGGGTGTTGAAATCTATATTTTTGTATTGGAGTCTCTCTCTTTAGCTCTAATGTTTTCCTTATATAACTGGGTGCTGCAATGTTGGGTGCAGGTATATTTAAAATTGTTATATCCTCTTGTTGAATTGACTATTTAACATTATATATGGACTTTCTTTGTGTCTTATAGTTTTTGTTTTGACCTCTATTTTGTCTGATATATGTATAGCAACTCCTATTCTGTTTTGATTTGCATTGGCATGGGATATATTTTTTTCATCCCTATATTTTCAGTTTATGTGTGCCTTTATAGGTTACCTGTGTTTCTTGTAGGCAACAGGTCAATATGTCTCACTTTTCTTTTTTAATCCACTCAGCCAATCCTGCAATTTTGTTATTTGTTTTCTGATTGTTTTGTGTTCATCTCTTCCTTTTTTATTTCCTTTTTATCTTTCCCCACTGAAGGTGATTTTCTCTGGTAATATAATTTAGTTTTTTTCTTTTTATCTTTTGTGTATCAGTCGTATTTTTTTTTAGTTTGAGGTTATCATGAGGCTTGCAAATGCTATCTTATTACTCATTGCTTTAAGCTGACAACAACTTAAAACTGTTTGCAGAAGCAAGCAAGCAAAAAGGAAACTAATAAAAACACTAGGTCTTAACTTAGTACCCCTGCCTTGCTTTTTAACTTTTAGTTGTTTCTCTTTATATCTCATTGTACTCTCTCTGTCTTGAAAAGTTGTTGTAGTTATTATCTTTTATTAGTCTTTCTACTTGGGATAAAAGTAATTTACGCATCACGGTAATAGTGTTATAATATTCTGTGTTTTTCTGTGTACTTACTGTTACAAGTGAGTTTTGTACCTTCAGGTGGTTATTTGTTGTTCATTAATGTCTTTTCTTAATGATTGAAATACCTCCTTTAGCATTTCTTGTAGGATGGGTCTGGTGCTGATGAAATCCCTCAGCTTTTGTTTGTCTGGGAAAGTCTTTATTTCTCCTTCATGTTTGAAACATATTGTTTGAAACATATTGTAAACAGATATACTATTCTGGGGTAGAAGAGTTTTTCTTTTCCTTCATTACTTTAAATATGTCATGCAACTCTCTCCTGGCCTAAAAGGTTGCCACCGAAAAGTCTGCTGCCAGACTTTGGATCTCCATTGTGTGTTGTTTGTTTCTTTTCTTTTGTTGCTTTTAGAATCCTTTCTTTTTCATTGATCTTTGGGAGTTTGATTATTAAATGCCTTGAGGTAGTCTTTGAGTTAAATCTGCTTGTGTTCTATAACCTTCTTGTACTTGGATATTGATATCTTTCTCTAAGTTTGAGAAGTTCTCTGTTATCCATTTGAATAAACTTTCTATTCCTATGTCTTTCTCTACTTCTTTTCTAAGGCCAGTAACTCTTAGATTTGCCCTAATGAGGCTTTTCTCTAGTTACTGTAGGCATGCTTCATTTTTAAAAAAAAATTTGTCTCCTCTGACTGTGTATTTTTACATTGCCTGTCTTCAAGCTCACTAATTTTTTCTTCTGCTTGATCAGTTATGTTACTGAAAGACTCTGATGCATTCTTCAGGATATCTATTGCATTTTTCTGCTTCAGAATTTCTGCTTGATTCTTTTGTTTATAACTCTTTGTTAAATTTGTCTGATAGAATTCTTGAATTTCCTTGAGTTTACTCAAGATAGCTATTTGTAATTATCTGTCTGAAAGGTCAGATAACTCTCTTTCTCAAGGATTGGTCCCTCATGCCTTATTTAGTTCATTTAGAGAGGTCATTTTTTTCCTGGATTGTCTTGATGCTTGTAGATGTTTGCCTGTGTCTTGGCATTGCAGAGTTAGGTACCTATTTTAGTCTTTGTAATCTGGGCTCATTTGTACTTGTCCATCTTGGGAAGGTTTTCCAGATATTAAAAAGGACTTAGATGTTGTGATCTAAGCTGTATTTGCTATTGGGAGCACTCCAAGCCCAGTAATGCTGAGGTTCTTGCAAACTCTCACAGACACCATCCTGATGGGCTTGAATGTGAAAGAATTATCTGAATTACTAGACTGAGACTCTTTTCTCTACCCTTACTTTCTTCCAAACAAATGGAGTCTGTGTTCTGATCCACCTGAAACTGGGGGTGGAGTGATACAATTGCACCCTTGTGGCCACCACCACTGTGATTGCTAGGTCAAACCTAAAGCCAGCACAGACCTTGCTCTTGGCCAAGGCCTACTCTAACCACTCCATGGCTACTGCCTGTGTTTTACCAAGGTCCTGGGGCTCTGTAATCAGCAGGTGGCAAAGCCAGTTAAGCCTATGTTCCTCCCTTCAGGGTGGTGAGTTTCCCCAGGCCCCTGGAAGTCCAGAGGTACTATCCAGGAGCCAGGGAGTAGAATCAAAAACTTTAGAAGTCTGCTTGGTTTTCTACTGTACTATGGCTGGCGTAGCCTTCAGTCCACTAGATGCAGTTCTTTTCACTCTTCCCTTCGCTTTCCAAAGGCAAAGGAGTCTCACCCATGGCCACCACCACCACAGCCCTTGGGGAGCATTGCCAGACTATTACTGATGTTCCCTTAAGGCTCGAGGGCTCTTCTATCGGCTTGTGGTGAGTGCTTCCTGGCTTTGAACTCATCCTTCAGGGCACTGGGCTCCCCTCGGGCACAGGACAGGTCCAAAAGTGCCAACAAGAACCAAGTCCTGGAATGGAGGACCACAGGAGCTTGTTTAGTGCTGTACCCCACTGTGGTCAACCTGATACTTAAAGCCAGCAAGTCTTAGGCACTCACTCAAAGCCCTTGATGTAGTACGTGGGTACTGCTGCTTGTTGTTCAGGGTCCAAGGGCTCCTCAGTGAGCAGGTGATGAGTGATGCCAGGACTGGATTCTTCCCTTCAAGGAAGCGTGTCCCTTTCTGGCCTGGGGTGTGTCTAGTAATGTCATCTGGGAGCTACGGTCTGGAAAGGGGACCTGAGGACTCTCATTACTGCCTTATGCTACTGTGTCTGATCTGCTATCCAATATTAAAGACATAGTCTGCCCTGCCCTTCCTGCTCCTTTTCTCAGGTGGAAAGAAGGGGTCTTCTTTGGAGCTGCAAACTGTGTGCCTGGGATTAGGAGAGGGGTGATGCCAGCACTCCGTTAGTTACCCCAGCTGGTGTCTCATAGGCTACATGACCCATAGTCCACTTGCTCTGGGCCCAGTTCAACACTCAGACTTGCCCAGGTGTTGTAGACCTTGTGGCCTAAACAGCCTTTCAAGTTTATGTAGAGCTCTTTTAGCTCATGGCAGTGAGGCTTGAAAGAACTCGAGTTTGGACCACTTTCCCCTTAGACTAAGGCTGATTTAAATGCTCCCTTAGTGGGTAGGCATCAGCTGAGTTTGGTCCAGTTATTTTTTCTGCTATAAAGGACAGCACTGAGATCAATGCCTCACAATTAGTGCACTCCTCCTCCCCTTGTACACTGAAACACTCTTCACACAATGTTGCCACTGTCGGGGGTGGGAGAAGAGTGGCATCAGTGATTCAAGATTGTTTTTCTCAATCTCTTTGGTGTCCCTTTCAGCAATACTAAATTAAAACCAGTATTGTGAGTGTTCACTTGATTGTTGGTACTTATGAAGGTGTTTTCTGTGTAGATAGTTGTTAACTTGGTGTCCTTGCACAGGGCACAATCCAGGGAATTTTTTTTCCACCATCTTTTTTTCCCAAATTTGTGTTGTTCTTTATAATTACCTACTTTATTCTCTATACCAGTGCCCTGTGTGCCTTTACATGGCTTTGATTTACTTTCTAATATTGTCACAGAATCCTCGGGGTGTCGCTTTTCTGACTGGAAAGCTCTGTGGCCGGTGGTGCCTTTGCCTGAGTTTTGCTTGGGCCTGCTGGGATCATTGGCCTGGCAGGCTGCACTCAGCTTGTGCTATTGGTCCAGATCCCATGCCTGCCAAGGGCTACCCAGGTGAGGAGTGGCAAGGGGTATATGAGTGAGTGATTGTGGGGTCCAGCCACTGCACACAGCCAGGCACACCATCTGCAGCCAGGTGGGCAGCTCCAGGCACCAACACGGGAGCTGACTCCCTGTGAGGTTGTGGTTGGACCAAGCATACCACAAGCAGCTTCCATGACTGGAACCAGGGAACACAGTGGCTCCCAGAAGCTTGGAGACACCAGGAACTGCAAAGCCCCAAAGAGGGTGTCACAGCCCTGGCTTGGAGATCTCTGAGGTATGGGCTCCCTGAAAAACCATAGCCCTTCTCTCTTCCCTCCTTCTCATCACCCGCAGTGGGCAAGTGAGGGGTGTGTTTCAATCCTGTTTATGTTACAACTCTTTCAACCCTGCCATTCAGTGAATCCTAAGTTCTTGTCTCATATCTAGGACAAGTGGAGGGTGAGCAAGGTGAAGAGGTGCTTTATTGAGCAACAGAACAGATCAGAGGAGACCCACAGTGGGTAGCTCCACTCCACAGGCAGGACGTCCCAGTGTGTCCGGCTCTCAGCAGTGAGGAGACCCACAGTGGGTAGCTCCTCTCCACATGCAGATCATTCAATATCTTCCTATCTCTCAGCTGAGAGGAGACCCACAGTGGGTAGCTCTTCTCCACAGGCAGGTTATATGATGTCTTCCCAGCTCTCAGCTGAGAGAAGACCCATGATGGGTAGCTCTTCTCTTCAGGCAGGCCATTCTGACATCTGCCTGAGTCTTGCTGAGTCCAGGGTTTTTATGGGCATCAGAGAGGAGTAAGTGCATGCTGCTTGGTCCATAGGTGGCCGTGGGCAGCCTGGAAAAAGCACCATGAGTTCTCATTCCAGGCCATAGAACTGGCTTCCCAGCCCTGATGCCTCAGGCCATCCCAGGCCTGAAGATAGGGCTGTACCAGGGACCTGCCCCTTTCCACTCAGGAGCCTGTCTGCCTCCCACTGTCATCAACCTGACATCCCCAGTGCCCAGGCTGTTTGCACTGAGGGGGCGGGCCCGCACCAAGCTGTGTTCAGCACCCCCTTGGCCTCCCTCCCATGCTTGTTGGTGCCCAAAGTCCAGAGAGGGCCAAGGTGGTACAGTGCTGGTGTGTTAGTACTGCCATGGGTGCACTCACACCTGGCTGGGTCATGACAGTGCCTGGGCTTGGCCTCAACTTTGCTCCAAAATCAGAGTGGGCACCAGCAGTGGAGAGAGGCCAGGCAGTGGGAGCAGGTATTTCCCAGCCTGTAGGCACAGGGTGGGCTTTCCGGGCCCCCGAGAGAGCAGAGATGCTGGGTTCACAGCCTAGACTGGGCAGCTGCAGGGCTCCCACCCCTTCAACTCAGAGGGGGCCAGGGCTTCTGCTTGTTCCTGGCTCCCACCGGCTTCAAGGAGTGTGCTGCCCTGACTGCACCCCAACCCTGCTGCATCTGGAATCTTTGCAGCAGCCACTCCAGAAGGGCCGCTGCTGCCATCAGTATCACTTCCTTTAACCCTGAAGAAGTAGCTTTATTTAATAATTATTTTAAGGAAGATATGCTAGCAATAAATTCTCAATAACAAAATTATCTGTTTACTTTAAAATGTCTTTATTTGCCTTCATTTTAAATAATACTTTTGTTGGATATAAAATTATTAGTTGTCATTTATTTCTTTTCTAAATTTTGGATATATTTGACCTCCATTAATTCTGAGGAAAGGTATTTTTTTGTTTTGTTTTATATTGGTCCCTTTGTACATGTTAAAGTTGTTTATCTCTTGCTACTTTTAGGTACAATTGTTCTAGTGGTGGTTCTCTTTGTGTTTATTATACTGGGAGTTACTTGAACTTCTGGGAAATATAGATTAATATTTCATCAAATTTGGGGAGTTTTGATCCATAATTTCCTCAAATATATCTTCTGCTTATTCCTCTCTCTTCACTAATTCTGAGAAACCTATTATGTATATGTTGATACTTATGGCCACAGATCTCTGAGCTTTTGGATTTATTTTGTTCATGTACTTTTTTGTGTGTGTGATGGAGTCTTGCACTGTCTCCCAGGCTGGAGTGCAGTGGGACAATCTCGGCCCACTGCAACCTCCCCCTCCAGGGTTCAAGTAATTCTCCTACCTCAACCTCCCGAGTATCTAGGATTACAGGCACACACCACCATGCACAGCTAATTGTTGTATTTTTAGTAGAGATGGGGTTTTGTCAAGTTGGCCAGGCTCTTCTCCAACGTCTGACCTCAGGTGATCCGCCCACCTTGGCCTCCCAACATGCTGGGATTAGAGGAGTAAGCCACCACTCCCATCCAATTCATATACTTTCTATTCTACAGAAAGTATAGAAAACTTTGTACACATTGTTGATCTATCTTCAAGTTCACTGATTCTTTATGTGCCAGTTAATATCTGCTGATGAGTCATTCTAATTGAGCATCTCATTTCACTTTTTGTGCACTATCTCCAGAATTTCCATTTGGTCCTTTCTTATATTTCCTTATCTCTTTATTGATATTCTATGTTCGATGAGTAATTGTCATCTTTCTTCCATTTAATTCTCATACTTTCCTTTGGTTCTTTGGACATGTTTATGACATTTACTTTGAAGATTTTGTCTGCTAAATTCAACATGTAGATCCCTCAAAAGGCAGTTTCTATTGATTACTGTATTTCTTATATATGGAGCACTCTTTTTTTTTGCATGTCCAATAATTTCTTATTAAAAGTCAGCTTTTTATGTAATATATTGCAACATCCATGGATTCTACTCCTCACCCCCATGCATACAATTATAAGAATACTTATTGCTATTTTTGTTTGTTTTTAATTTGTGTAGTAACTTTCCTGGACTGTATCTGGAAGTCAGTTTCTTTTGAAGTTTGCAACTTCTAATGTTTCCACTAAGATTTTTCTTTAATTTTGATGTTTATTTTTAAGTCTATATGTTTAGGGGTTACTCATGGGTCATTATAACTTAATGGTCTGTCATTGTGTGTTCAAGGATTTTACTTAGAGATGCTGGGCAAGTAGGGCTTCCATCCTTATCTGATGAATTTCTGTGTATGTGTTTGGGAGTGGTTCAAAGTTCAGGCAGGTGACAGGTCTGCCCTAGTTTACTCTGGATACACAAATGCACATTTAGCCTCACATTTAGCCAATGATGACTAACTCACTAGGGCCAGCTCCAGTAAATGTGCAGCCTTGTACATGCATGCATGCAGCTTTTCTGACCAGCCCAATAAATGGGATTTCAGCAAGATTCTCTGGCAATCTTATATCTCAGATATTCCTGTTAAATTTCAGGCTTATTTTCCTTTCTGTTGCTTCCCTCTGCCTACTTAATAACACAAGATAATCTGCAAAATAAGCCTTCCCTCATTTTTGTCACTGAAATCACTTATTTTCATCAGCACCTCTGCACATGGAATGTACATGGTTTGCTCCAGTAAAGTTGGCCTGCTCCATCAGGGAAAAAACTATTCCATTCTCTGTGGGCTGCGCTACCCTACTCTCCTGGGTAGAACTTCTTTGTCAAAGAGCTGGGGCTGAAAGCTGGAACTAGGAGTAGTTCCTCGGTAATATGCCACAACCACTCACTGTTTTTAAATAAATGTTTCTTGATTTGGTATATGCCTTTGGTCAATGATACAGTCTCTTTAAATGGTTGTTTTGGACAACTTTGTCAGATTTTACATTTGTTTTTGGTAAGAGGATTTGCCAAGGTTCTCACTGAGGCACTCCCTTAGTCCTGCTGGCAGTCATTTTTGTTATTCAGTAAGTGGGTCAGAGCAACACACTCAAATGTGCCTCTAACATCCAAATAACCTCATTGAGTGAGGTTTTGACAGTGATTTATAATGATAGGAGCAATATAGTGGTAGTCATGGCACAACAACTTGCACTTCATTTTGTAGGGAGTGATTCCAAAAATGAAATCTCTTAGAAATTTCACCAAGGTGGTGATGATAAAATGATTAATCTCTAATTATCTGCCAGACATATCAAGATTCATGATGTTCAATCAGTTTTCAATATAATAGATCAGCATTTTATTTTGTTGTACGTCCAAGCAATTATAATTTCTAAAACTACATCATGAAAGAAAGCAAAAGAGTTGACAAGAGGCAAGAGAAGGAAGGTTTACCTCTGTTTTTGCTAGAAAAAGTAAATGGCTTCTGGTAGATTCTACAAATAGAGAAAAAAGTATTTGTCAGTTCAATATATTTACATCAGGTAGATGAAACTCTATTGATTTGTTCAAGAAAAAATTATATATCTGGAACAGAAACTAAAATTAGAATCACTATCTGATTATGTTCACAATAATACACAATTAATCTCCAGTATTCATATGCCTTCTGATTAGGCCAAGCTGAAGTTAAACAGGCATGTGATAGAAATCACTACTTTTAATATTTTAAATAACTGGTGATTGTGGAAGTGAGACTAATCTTAGGAATTTCCCCATTATGTGATGCTGTATAGTTTATTATTAGGAAAAGTTCTTAAGACTTTCCTTTAACCCTTCTGCTATAATAGTCCTTATTTCAAATGTTAAGTAATCAATTAGGAAATTCTGCCATTTTTCACATATTCCAATTTCAGTTAGTCATTCAGGACCATGGGGAATAAACACAGATCACACAAAAATATATTTAAGTCAAAATTGTATTTATCTCTTGAGCTTCATAAAGCTTTACTTTGGTAGATCACAGTGTCATCTTCCAAACTCTGGATTTTTTTCTTTTTCTGGCATAATTGCCTAGTAAATTACCTCAGGAATTTAAGAGAAGACCTGGAAAAAGTTTTACGGTAAATATTTGTGATAATGTTACAAGGCAATTTCTGAATTGGTCCCAGTGATTCTTTCAATCAATAGCTGAGTCTATGACTTGGTTAAAACATTTATTTTGGCCGTTCGAGGCACTGCATCTCAAATTATGGACTAATTTTGTGTTCCTACTAAACATACCTAATACATTTGAAAGCTTCTCAAGTATTTTCTAGAAACATGGCCATCAATTAGCTACCATACCTCTGAAGTCAAAACCGTCAGGTTGACACTTCATCCCTGTAGTCCATTACAGTAATTGTGTAAACCATATTTCTGGTAATTAAGTACTGTCACTTAGCTTATGACACCCTGGAAGCTCATCAGTTCCATTGAGATTAGAGAGCAGGTGTCAATCACGGTGTTTCCTCAGTCATTCCTGGACTACAGAGTTCAGTTTTCACAGACCTTTGCAAGGATGATGATACTCACCTCAATTATATGAACTTGCAGGGAGGAAGATACATGCTTCCTCAAGAAATATAGCTCAGAGGTGTTTGTTCAGGAAAAGTAAAGCTACTTCAGGGTCAAATATGAGCAGTTGTATTTCTCAGCCCTCAATAAAGTTGGTGCAAAAGCAATTTTTTATCTAGCTATATAAATAGACACAAGTTGCTTCTATTTTTTAAATAGCTGTAAGTTCTATGAGGATAGTTAAGGCAAAGCTTCATTAACAAGATTTACATTTTATTTTAAGATACTGTTCTCTTTCCTCCATAACTTCATTGTAGATCAACTTATTTTTTAGTTGGCTATGAGGTAAATAATCAAGTTTATATTTTATATAAATAAACAGTTAATTATCTTCTAGATAAATTATAGTTTCATAGTATTTCTTATAATTATCAGTGCCTTTATCATCCTATGAATGCTATCCACAAAGCAGGAGCAATAAGTTACCCCACATTAAAAGCAGTGAAAGCAGAGAGGGCATATATTTTATTAAGTAGCAATCCAAAAAATAGATAATAATGAAAATTTATAAAGCATTCATGCATAGTAATGCATACATTTATTATTTAATAATGCAAACATATTGGCCTTATATTATTTTGTCATGAATTCATAGGGATTAATAACAGTGAGTTATTGAAGCACTAGCTGGTTCTTTCTCCATTCAGATACTTGTAACAAACTATGATTATCTGAAGTCTTACTCTTCATGAATATATAAAATTTTATTTATTTTGATGATCCAATAAAATACCTTATCTGACAAAATACATATCTATATACACTAATATATCAGTCTTTGACATATATGCTTGAAATAAGAAAATTTGGTTAAAAAGATAATTCAGTTAGTTATATTATTGAAAATATGTTAATCCATTCTCTTATTATGTAGTAACGAATCACACACACACACACACCCATCAAGAGCTCTATCACTATGGCTATAGTTCCTGTTAATATATCTATAATAATATGTTATTTATTCATTAATTTTATTTCCTGTTATAATTAAATATTGCAATGTATTACTTAGTCATAGTTTTATTTCTTATTATAAGTAAATAAATGATTAGTTACAAATGACTATTCTGAGAGCTGAAAATCATTCACTAGCTTGCCACATACAGAAAAATTAGTGAAGCAATTGCAATATTCATATCTATGAATCGGAAAATTAACGTATCCATGAGCAGAGGGATTTTTGCGTACTTTGTCTAATGTTGTACCTCAATTGTCCAGAACAGCACCTGGAATATTATAATTATTCAATAAATAGATGTCTAGGGTGTATAAATGATGAATAAATGTGGCTTTTTTATTTTAAAAAAAATTTTGAAACCTCAAACTTAGAAAAGCTTCGAGTGCAATACAAACAATAAATATTTTTTCCTGAACATTTTGAGAGTAATTTCCTAACATAATGCTTTGTCATTCCTGAATAGTTTAGTATGTATTTTCTACAATGATGATCTCTCACATAGTCACTGTACAACCATCAAACTTTAAAAATTAACACTGATATATTACTAATATCTAATCCTCTTACTCCCTTCAGCTTTTACTCATTGTCCTTATATTATCCTTTATAGCTCAAATATTAGTTCATAATAATGTTACACTTTGTTAAAATGTCACTTTAGTTTCTTTGAATCAGAGATAGTTTTTTTAGCAGGTTCTTAATATCCGTGACATTGACGCTTAAATGTTACAGGGCACTTATTTTATAGAATGTTCTTTAGTTTGGACTTTGTCTTATTTCTTTGTGAATAGATTCAGGTTATTCATCTTTAGCAGAAACAACACAGAAGCGCTATTTTATTCTCATAGCAATCTATCTGATGGTATGTGATCTTGATTTATCTGATTACTATTGTTAAATTTAAAAATTTAAAATAATGTCTGCCAGGTTTCCTTTTGTAATATTACATTTTCCCCTCTGCAATTAATAAATAAATAATTTAAATGTGTGTGAGAGGTTGTAATTTGAGACTCTGTAAATATTCCATTCCCTTTCAAATTTCAGTGTATATGTTTATTTGCTCATATCATCATGAAGTCATGATTTTGCATTTCGTTCAGTAGATTATCATCTGTTCGTATCTGTATTAATTTCTGAGGGCTGCTGAACAAAGTACTTAAAACTAGGTGGTTTCAAACAAGAGAAATTTATTTTCTCATAATTTTGGAATTTAGAAGTCCAAAATCAAGCTGGAAGAAGAGCCATGATTATTCTAAAGGTAAAGGAAAATCTTTCTTGCTTTTTTTAAAAAAAAATTCAGTTTTTATTTTAGCTTCCGGGGTATTTGTGCAGGTTTGTTACAAGGGAATATTACATTATGCTGAGGTTTGGGCTTTTGTTGATCCTGTCACCCAAATAGTGAACAGAGTACCTTCAGAAAGTTTTTCATACCTTGCCACCCTCCCTTCTTCCCTCCTATTTGAGTCTCCAGTGTTTCTTTATCCTGTCTTATGTCCATGTGTACCCAAGGTTTAGCTCCCACTTACAAGTGAAAACATGTAGTATTTGGTTTTCTGTTTCTGCATTCACTTAGGGTGATGGCCTCCAGTTGCATCCATGTTGCTGCCAAGTAGATGATTTTATTCTTCCTTATAGCTGTGGAGTATTCCATGGTGTACATGAACCACATTTTCTTTATTCAGTCCACCATTGATGGGGACCTGGGTTGATTCCATGTCTTTACTCTTGTGATTAGCACAACAATGAACATATGACTGCATATGTCTTTTTGATAGAAGGATTTATTTTCTTTTGGGTATATACACAGCAATAAGATTCCTGGGTCAAATGGTAGTTCTATTTTTAGTTCTTTGAGAAATCTCCATTCTGTTTTCCATAAAGGTTATACTAATTTACATCCCACCAACAGTATATAAGCATTCCTTTTTCTCTGCAGCCTTGCCAGCATCTGTTATTTTTTTGACTTTTTAACAGTAGCCACTGTGACTAGTATGAGATGGTATCAAAATGTGGTTTTGATTTGCATCTCTGATGATTAGTGATGTTGAGCATTTTTTAATGTTTGTGGGCCACCTTCTCAGTTATTCCTTCCTTCTGGTTGCTCTTAACAACCCTTGGTCTTCCTTGGCTTGTAACTACACTATTCCAATCTCAAGTTTCATCATCATATGCTTTTCTTCATTGTGTTTATCTGTTTGTGTTAACTTCTCTCCTTATAAGAACTCCACTAATCGAATTTAAGGCGCACCTTAATCTTGTTGACCTCAACTCAACCTAACTAGCTATGTCAGCAAAGACCCTATTTCCAAGTAAGTTTACATTCTGAGGTTCCAGGAGGGCATACAGTTTGGAAGGGGGATGCTATTCAACCCACCACACTATAATAATTTATTATGGTGGTCAAATGTTCTAGATTTTGGCCAGTAGGGGCCTGTCAACCTGAATTTTGCACTCTACAACATGTTCCTATTACATTTTGAACACTTTCTTACTTTTTGGTATAAGATAAACCAGTGTGGTCTTTTGCTGCTCTTATTGTTCTGGTTCTGGAATCTATAATTTCTTCAAGTATATCTGGTTCCTGTTTGTAGACCTTGGTATTTAGAAACTGAGATCTGACACTGGACATATTCATTGCAATTGAGTTTTGGCTGCTTCTAGGTTCACTCAGTGGAATAAAAGTTATGAAATGTGTGTGCGTATGTGTGCATGTGTGTACACATGCAGACTCTCTCCTCACTTAGTCTGAGCTCAGATCCCTCACCACTACCTCCTTCAGGCTGCCATAAAGCAGGGACACTTTTCATCGTGTAGCTGGGCCATGTCACCATGTAGAAGCTCTCTTAACCATGCAGGGACTCTAACATGCTAGCCATGCTACCATCCCTTGTTCTTCAGGCATGCCTTTCTCACCCTCCTTGGACTCCAACACCTTTCCTTGGGTCACAATAGCTTTCTTTTCTCCCTTGGCACAGACAACTACTTTGCTCAGCCTCACATGATGGCTACTGGATTGAATTGTTTAAGAAAGGCAGAAGAGGAGGGAAAGAAAGGGAAATTCCCCTTTGCTTTTAATAATGTCACTGTTTTATATTTTATTTATGAAAATTTTAAGTGAACAAACTTAGCTTTGTAAATTCCCTTGATTTCATCTTTGTTTTCTATTTTCTTATTTCTTTTTAGTTTGTTTGCTTGTTTTTCAGTTAAATTCTGAGGTTGTAAAGTTAAATCATTAATTTTTAGCCTTTATTCTTATTAATATATGCATTTAGAAATAGATATTTCCCTCTAACTACCACTTCCTACAAATCACATAATTTGTATTGTAATTTGATATTTCTAAATGTTTTATTAATTGTATTAAGATGTATTTTTTTTACTATGGAGATTTTTTGTTGTGTCTGAAGTTTTATGGTGTTATTTTCTTCTTTTTCTTATTCACTTCTTGCTTCAATGTACTGTGTTCACAGAACCTGTTCTAAATGGTATTATTAGAAATTTGTTTTATTGAGTTTATGAATTTATACAAATAATTAATGAAAGGATAGATATGTTCTAACTGTTGGGGTCAGAGTTCTATATAAACCTATTAGATGAGGTAAATTAATTCTTTAAATTTACTGCATATTTCTTCTATGATTTAATTTTCAATAATTTAAAAAGATTTTGTTCACATTTCTCACATAATAAAGCCTTGTCAATGTTTTCTTCTAATTTTCTCAAATTTTACTTTATTTTATTGTTATTTACTACTTCTATCCCTACTAATGTTTTATATTTTAAAGTTTATTTTATTTGAATATACAGATTTCTTTTGGGTAATATTTATTATATATTCCATATCCCAGACTTTGATTTTAATTTATTTTGTATTTTCTATTTATATTTTATGAAAAACAAATAACTAAATTTCTTATAAGCAAATTTGGTAACATCTGTCTTTTTTTTTTTTTGGTGTTTTGCTATTGAAGTTGGATGGCTTTTCAAAAAGTAAACACACTTTTGTCACAATTATCAAGATATAGAAATATTACCTGTGTCTTCATCACCATTCCCTGCCTCCTACTGCCTCCCCAAGGATAGCCAATACTCTGGTTTTTAACATTATAGATTATTTTTGCCTTTGTTTCAACATTACATAAACAAATTCAAACAGTGCATACTTTGTTTCTGACATCTTTCCTTCAAGGTTATGTTTGCAAAATTCATACACGTAATTGTATGTACTTATTGATTCATGTTACTGATGAATGGTATTTCAGTGTATGAATACACCACAATGAATTTATCCACTTTATTTTTGATGGACATTTGGGTAGTGTTGACTTTAGTAATCTGGAAGAAAATAAAAATTAAAACAGTAACAATCAACTTTATCTGTTTTCAGGAAAATGCAAATTAAAACTAACGTTATATCATTACATATTCACCAGCATGAATAATGAATGAATGAATAAATAAATAGAAGAGAGACAGTAGTATGTACTACTACAAAGAGTATATACTGATACAACTGCTTTGGAAATTTGCTTAGCACTATACTATTTACTAGAGTTGAATGTAATCATATCCTATGACCCAGCAGTTGTACTCATATTTCACAGAAAGATATACTTATATTCCTCAAAACACATTTATAAGAACACATATTTTATGATTTGCATATGCTTTTACTATTTTATTATATCAGTTCTTTTTTTTTCTTTTTTTTTTGAGACAGATTATCCTGCTGTTGCCCAGAATGGAGCGCAGTGGCATGATCTTGGCTCACTGCAATCACCACCTCCCGAGTTCAATTAATTCTCCTGCATCAGGCTCCTGAGTAGCTGTGAGTACAGGCATGCATCACCATGCGAGGCTAATTTTTGTATTTTTAGTAGAAATGCGGTTTCACTGTGTTGGCCACGTAAGTTAAGTCTCAAATTCCTGACCTCAAGTGAGCCAGCCACCTCGGCCTCCCAAAGCGCTGAGATTACAGGCGTAAGCCACTGTACCCGGCCACCATGATTTCTTGTGTCTGAAACCAATTGCTGGGGTAAATTCTTTAGGTTTCATTATCTGTTGATATTTTTTACAGTCAGAGACCAATGTTTTTGTCTTCTGACTCCGTTGTTGCTTTCAAAAAGTCCACTATCATTCTAATTGTTGTTTTGCTGTACATAACTTCTTCTTTCTCTCTGGTTATTTTAAAATAGTTGCTTTGTCTTTGGTGTTCCACATTATTTATAAGTGGCTATATATTATTTTCATTATTTTTGGATAGAGTGTGCATACTTGATCTGCAGATTCACATATTAAACAAGTTCTTAAAAAACTATTATTTCTTAAACATTGCCTCTCCTTCATTCTCTCTTGAGGACTTATAGTCAAGGTATTCTTTTTAATGTTCTTTTAAATATTTTCCAATTCATTTATTTCATATGGTGTTCTTTAGTTGTTTCTTCCAGTTCATTACTTTCCTCTTCAAGACTGCTTATATAACACTTAATTCCTAGTAATACCTCATTATCACTTAGCAACTGTGTATTTTATATACTTAAACATTTTATGCATTTGTTATAAAACCTGTATCTGATAATTCCAAAATATGCAGTTTATAGTGAGGAGCTAGGACTGTTGGTTGTTTTGGCTGACTGGCATAAATAATAAATCAATTATTTCTAGGCATAATTATTACCAGCATAAATCTTATGTTTATTGACTTTATGATTTTCAACTTATTGCTTTATCACAATCTGTGGATAGCCTGTGGACCAAGTTGGAAAAGTTTTCCTCCAAAACAGATGTACTTTGGCTTTTGCTAGTAACAATTGCACCAATAATCTCAGATCACTTCAGTTCCTCTTAGGAGTATCAGCTCATTATCGGCGTTTGCATCTTTGTTTCCTCTGCGAATCACACAGGGCTGAGTGTCCTGTTAGTCAGGATATTGTCAATATTTGCAATTGAGGTAATGCTACTTCTCATTGACTGCAGTGATGTTTATAGTTTCCTGCCAATTATTTGCTTCCATCCCAAAATGTGTGTGAGTGTGAGTGTTTTTGTGTGAAAAGAAGTCAGTCTATGGAGAATTCTACTTTTAACACTAATAATGCCTCAAAATGTTTGGGCAAAATTTTCCCCCAAAATAAGCCACATTAATCTGTTTTTTTAAATGCATGAAAAATAAATTTGAATCAATTAAATATTTATTGTGTGTAGATTCAAAGTCAATAAGAGAACAGGTGATATGTGCTTATTACTAAATCTGTGAAGACTGTCCATGAAGAATGACACATTGGTAAATAGTGCTCTAGCTCATGCTAATTTCTCCCTCCTTGAGCACCTATTATATATAACATGTGTCCTATTTATTCTGATAATTAGTCAATTTTACCTGTACTCCTTTATTTATATTGACCATTTTTATTTTTGTGTTATATACAAGTGCATTTCAGGGATAGTGATTTAGATTACATTTAAATGTCCCAGGTCTTATTGTAATTCATTTCATAAATAGTATAAATAATTATTCAGTTGACTATAACATGAATATTTTTCTGACAAATATGTCTTTCTACTAGAGTTTGCAATTATAGACACCTGTAATCATCTGTTTCCCCTAGAACTTCCATACTAAAATGGATATTTGAGGTGGAATAGCAATTAAATTCATTTTGCATTTACTAATGAGACATGTTGCATTCCTTATGGCTAGCATGTTGATAACATAAATATTCCTTTGTTTTCTGAATGAATAATCTTTTACAGCCTAGAAACTGGATGCTGTCCTTGGCTTGACTGTATCATGCATTGCTGGCAAACAATAAGCACTATCTCATAAAAATCTCATCATTTTGATCTATGCCTTTTATCTCTATACTAATTGTATTACATAATATATTGATTTATCTTCTTCAGAATAACATGCAGACATTGGCTGGGGAATACTCTAATGTTTAGAACTAGCACTTCTATTTTCTGAAGTCTGTGATGTTTTGTTTTGTATCACATATTTCATGGTTTATAATATTCTAAATCCTGAAATTGTCCTAGACTATTTCATGTGAAATATTTTAAAATACATTTAAATTGTAAAGTATTCCATTTTCGTTCTGAAGAGACTAAATTTCTAATTTTTAAAAGGCAGTTTATCAGCTCACTTAAATCAAATCTAAAGAGAAACATTCATTTTATCTTCCAGATTTAAACACAAATTTTTAAACCCATTATTACTTATGCACAGTGTAAAAGTTTTTCTCATCTAAATATCCTGTTAATCAAATTTATTGTGCTAATAGACACAGACATGGTGGTTGGAATAATATGATTACTCAATATGTAGATATCTAAAGGGCCTATTTAAAATGTAAGATGTTTTTCATAGATGAGTTTTCATTGCACATATTTTAAAGCCTTTTTAGAATAAACTTTAAGCTAATAGAAAGTCGCCAACGTATCTCCAGATTTTGTATAATAAATTTTTGAAAATCTTTTAAATCATATTTCTTATGACAATAGTTTTCTGCAAATGATGTAGTTCATTTTCCTAATCTAAAAGAAAATTCAGGGAGCATTTTTCCATTTTTTTAAATTATCCTAGTTAGACATACGTAATGAAAAAATATTCTACTTAACTGTCACAGATGGGATCAGCATCTTTAAGGGCTGTGCAGTAGTTCAGAAAGAAATTGTAAAACAAAACATGATCCAAAGACCATGTGATTATTGTGCTTGTTAATTTATCAATATTAATGGAGAAAAAGTTTTGTGTGAACTACTTGCTTGAATTGTATCTTTTTCCATTTTCCATTACATACTTCTAGTAATTATTCTTCTGTAGCCTAATATGAAATTGATAGAATTAAAACAATAATTTAAAAAATCTAAGCATTTGTGCATCTGCTACTTCTGTCCCAGACATTTGGCAAATTGTTATGTTTCTCAGGACCTCTGTTACTCATAAGTAAAAGAGTACTCACTGCTTTTGCAAATGAAAAGAGAAAATTTGCTAATTATTTTTATAATGTCAATCAAATTAATAAATTTGTTAATATTAAATAATAACTATGAAGAATATTGTCTTTTACAGATTATAGCCAGTTTAAAAATATGTTTGTGGCAACAGTGCAAATGATACACAATAGTTAGGGAGAATATTCGTTTCATGAATATTTATATAAGTACTTAAAACTACGCAAATGCTAATGTTGAAATGGAATCCAGAAAGGTAAATGAGAAGAAGAAACAGTATGACTATGCTTAGTAAATTTATGTGTATGTATCAGTGGCATTGTATCTTTTGTGGCATAAAAGAAGTGGGGTTTCAATCATACAAATGAATGAGTAAATGTCAAACTAGAAAGGTAAAACCTTTATCTGAGTCAATTGCACAGTGTACGAATTGTTTGATTGTAAAGATAAGCCTCTAATTATTAAGAATGAGACATTTAAATTTTAATAATTCCCAAATTACTCTAGAAATTTTGCTTTTCTTGTATGACATATAACAGAACATTCTTGAGCAGATGAAGATGTCGTTTTAGTCTTCTAATAATTAAGTTAACACAAAATAAATAAAGCCATTTTTAGCCACAGCATTCAACAAAAGTCCTGGATCTGTTTGGTAAGTTTAAGATGATGATGGTGAAAACATTTAGAGCATTTTCCTACTGTCATACAACAAGCTATTTTGGAACTATCTAGGCATCTAAAGGACTTCCAAAGAGCTTTTAGAGTTTTAGAATTTCCTATTCTGTTTTCTATTCTATTCTATTCTATTCTATTCTATTCTATTCTATTCTATTCTATTCTATTCTATTATGTTCTATCCTATTCTATTATTTTATTGTATTCTATTCACAAACCACTTTATAAAATTTTCCATAATCTGGATTTGGCAATTTTTATTATATTATGTACTTGAGCCTTAGTTTGATGAACTGCTGCCAATTTCTGCCAGCTCACATATAGGATGACCCTTAGTGTATTTCATGCTGATTCTATTTCTTTTTTTATTATTAAACTTTAAGTTGTGGGATACATGTGCAGAACGTAAAGGCTCGTTACATGGGTATACACAGGCCATGGTGGTTTGCTGCACCCATCAACCTGTCATCTACATTAGGTATTTCTCCTAATGCTATCCCTCCCCTAGCCCTCCACCCACCAACAGGCCCCAGAGTGTGATGTTCCCCTCCCTGTGTCCAGGTGTTCTCATTGTTCAACTCCCACTTCTGAGTGAGAACATGCAGTGTTTGGTCTTCTGTTCTTGTGTTACTTTGCTGAGAATGATGGTTTCCAGCTTCAGCCATGTCCCTGCAAAGGACATGAATTCTATTTCTTTATTATGCTTTGTTACCAGCCCGGTGCTTTGGTGCCAGTCCTGAATTTATGTAAGTATTAGTAATATATATATATATATAAAATATATATATATATTTACATATACACACATACACACATATATAAGTTTAAAATATTTAGATATTTTATATCTATATTTTATAATATAGATATATTTTATATGTCTACTATAATAAGTATAAAATGTTTGTGTGTATACATATATATACATATATATATATATATATATATATATATATATATATATATATACACACACCATATATAGGAATATATCTACTCATAAGTGCAAGGGAAAAGAGCATTCTATAGTTATTGGTCAAGAGTTCACCCAATTAGAAAAAGGATTTTTATTATGTCAGTTTCATTAAGTTATACTGAAACATCTATATTAAACATTGATCTAATTTATTATTTTCAAAGGCAAATTTGCTCTTTCAAGGAAAACAACAAATGTAGCCACAATTATCTGAGATTTGTTATTAATGCATGATTTTATTCCTTATTCTTAAAATATTGGTTCATATTTGAAAGTGAATTACTGCTCAGTTTTCTCCCCTATTTAAAAATTAATTTTCATTGAATTATTTTATTTAACTATAAACTTTGTGTTGTGTCTTTAACTCATTTTTTTCCTCTGCAGAGGAGGAAAACTTAAAAGAATAAAAAGAACTTCCTTACTTCATGTGGCTTTTTAACATTTCTTCTCTAATAAGGATGATTCATATCAGTCATTTTTTTGATAAAAAGCATTGCATGGCTAGAGAACAGATGGCATAGCTATTAACCATGATTAAGGGCTTTATTCACAAAGCATTTGTGGATTATTTCTGCATTTTTTTGACTTTCTGGTATTGTGCCCTCAATTTGCATAGCAGTAGTTCTGATGTAGCAGAAAGTTCTGTTTGCCATTATCATTTGTTGAAACTCACATTAAAAAAATTTGAGTCTATGAACTGGGAAAAAAATAAAATAGAAACACCAACAATTTAATAAGAAAAACTAAAAACCTAGATACCTAAAAAATATGAAGCTCTGAACTTTACAAAAGCAACATATTACTACAGAGGAGATCACATTAATACTTAAAACTACTTTCCTTTATTCTTAATTGGTGAGGATTCAGATGACAGGTTTTCTTATTTGTGATATATATATGCATACAGGCACACACACACATACACACACACACACACACACACACACACACACACACACACGTTACCCTATCCACTAGAGCTAACTCTTTAGAAATTGTCTTATCTTACTCAAGGTATTACATATAATTTTAAACTCTCTAAACAGAAAGTTTCAAGGAGATGAAAGAGATGAGATGAGTACTGGGGAAGAGAGTAAGATACAAATGGAAGCTGAAAGTGTCAATATAAACCTCACCTGATTAAATGATCTGTGCCAAGACCACAACGTATTTTGTGGTTTTATGTATGTAATATTTTCATCTTCTTCTTAACATTGGTGTTACATATTCAACATCCAGAGTAATTAACTATAAATTAACTTTGTATGTTAACTAGGTTCCTCATAGCCTCTAGCAATGCTATCGAACACTAAATCTTTAATAAATACTTTAACTTATCTTGCATAATTACAAATATTCTTTTCTCAAAACAAGTGTTGCTTTATCTTTAGAGTACATATTAACACATTGCTTTCAAAACACAGACAAGATAGATACAAACAGAAAAATCTGGTATGAAAAGAGTCAACCTTCTGTCCTACCAACCCCCATTTCCATTCACTCCTTAAACTTTAATTATTGTAAAAGCCTCTATTCTAAGTTGGTGTGTGGCTTACTTTCATAACTCTAATTCATATACTAATAAATCAATTTTGCTTTATCAGTTAAGGCAAGATAACATTGATATCCTATTCTAAAAAATGACATTTTTGCTGCCTTATTTAACTCCCATTCAGCTCTCTTTCTTTCTTCCTTCAATTTTTATAATTATATTGCTATTTTAATATATTCAATTTTAAAATTTCATATTCCACATCTTCATCCATATCATGACTCATCATGAAACTTGAGGGTATGAGATATACTCTTTTTCCATCCTTTCTCTCCCCTTCTACATCACCATCTCTGTCAATGTTTTCTCATATTTTCATTTTCAGAGATAAAAATATTTGTATTGCATTTTATCATCTTAATAGAGCCTCAGTTGAGCCTATAAGGCTAAATTTAAATAATTTTTAAATTACTATGTAAAAAGTACTCCGTGAGGCACTGCCTTGATCTTCATTTTTAGCTGTTTGTAATGAAGCTAGGAGACGGCCCTCAGCTATCAGATTTCTTTTGGAATTCCTTCAACTGAGGAAAACTGCCTTGCTTTTCCAGGACAGCTCTAAACCAGGGACTGAATGAAATGCTGTAGTAAAATGCTTCATTACCTTATCCCAATTTGGGACGGCTCTGTGGGACAGAGTTCAGAGCTCCCCATCTGCTTCCTGTGAAACTCAACCTGCTGTGACACCTGGTACCAGAAGCGATTGGAGAAAGCAACTACTCAGATTGGATTTTGGCAGTGTTCCTGGCACCTCTTCAGCATGAGAACCAGATAACTAGTGGTAGCTAGGGCACAGATATCTTGACACAAAAACACAATTGTTAAAATTTTCACTCATAATGAACTAAGGAGGCACATCTGAAAGAAAAATGCACTAAACTGTGCAATGTATCAAGATTTTCAGAATTACATGGCAGGGGAAAAATGTAACTGTAAGGACAGTAGAATTGTAAAGGTATTGTTAAGATCACCTGATGTTCAAGAAAAGGACAACAAAAAGATGAGAGAGAACAGTAAATTGTTTATTTAAAGCCAATTGTGAAAGCCACAGGGCCTCACTTGTCTCATTTAAAGACTTTATCATCTGCATGTACCAGGCAGATAAAAGATAAGATCAAGACTAGGAATTTATTGTAAGAGTAACCAAATTTCAAACAAGCTTAAAAGTCCAACCAAAGAAGATCTGTTATGCCAAAATCAGATCTCTAGTCAGAAAGAATAGGATCTTGAATCATGATGTAGAAATATCTAGGTTGATGCACCCAAATCTTGAAGCTCTTGATTCCTCTGAACTACCTATCCATTAATCTACTCTTCATTAATGACAGCATTTCATCACCCTCTACCCTTACTTCCATACACATCTTGTTTAAATAAAAAGAAGATAACTCTTTTCTGAAAGATAATAGGCCCCCACTCATAATATGCCTCTACCTTCCCTTCTTCCTGGACATTAGGCTATTAAGTATAATTAAGTCTTAACCGAATCTTGGCAGAAGCATGGTGAGCCTGATGGAAGAAAAGGAACCATAACATGAAGAAACTGCAAGAGCTAGCCAAGATGTACTGTTAGGGTCCTGGAGAGTGCACATATTTTTGACTTCCAAGAGTCTTGAAATAGAGGGACTGAAGCATACATTTGGATACATTATGATTTATTAACATAGCAGAACTCTTCCAGGATACAGGATTTAACATACTGAGAAAGACACTGAGAGATGGTATGAACATGATTCTGGGGAGGCTCCTAAATGTATAAAGAAATCCATTGGCCCCTTTAAGTGAGGTGAAATGCCAGAATTACAAAAATAAATGTTGGAAGAAGGAATTAAAATGCTCAGAGAAGTGGGCATATGAGATTGGATACAATCTGTAAGGCTAGAAAATGCCCAGGTGACTACATTCCCATGAATGACATGGAAAACACATCATTTCCCAAAGCAATAAGACCTATGCTGATGAGAGGGGCACCATCATCACTAAAACGTCAGTGGTAGCTTCTCTGAAACCTGGAGCTAATGGTGGGAGATCCTGTTGCACAACTGGGCTCACTAACAGCACTGGGGGTAATAGGAACTGCAGCAATAAATGTCACATTGAAATCAAATCCTCAAAAGCCATGTGGGCAAAGTCTTTGATTTCAAAACTTTGGTATGGCAAGTTGGAGAAACAGTCAAATTGGTCTGACACAAAATAATGGACAAAAACATATATAGGAACAAAATAGGATGATAACAATTGTGAGCGTATCTCGAGTTCTACCATTAAAGAATTCAAAGGGTCAGGTTGCAGTGGCTCACGCCTGTAATCCCAACACTTTGGGTGGCTGAGGCAGGTGGATCACGAAGTCAGGAGATTGAGACCAGCCTGGCCAACATGGTGAAACCCAGTCTCTACGAAAAATACAAAAATTAGCCAGATGTAGTGGCGCATGCCTGTAATCCCAGCTACTTGGGAGTCAGGAGAATCACATCAACCCAGGAAGCAGAGGTTGCATTGGGCTGAGATCGTGCCACTGTATTCCAGCCTAGGTGTCAGAGTAAGACTCCATGTCAATCAGTCAATCAATCAATCGATCAATCAATCAGTAAGAATTCAAGGGATGATCATGAGGCTGAGATAGTTGTTCCAATAAAAACTGCCTAGTTCTTTCTCAGTTTCTGAACTAGAACCCATTTTTATACACAGAACTCATTGCTTGAAAAAAAAGTCTGATCCCAAAAAGGAAGATTTTACTGAGAAGGCAGGTCTACTCAGTAATGAGTCTCATAATACATGTTAAAAAGTACATAAATATATGTATTCAGGTACCTCAAGAAAAAGGAGATACTCAAATATTTTAAGTACTATTGGACATAGAGTCAATGTTGTCATTTATGTCTGGAGATTAGAAGGGCCACTATGGCTCTAGGTTATATGAGAATATATTGGAGCCAAATATAAATAGTTTTGGCTTGGATCTAGCTCACAGTGAGTGAGTTCATGGGATTTATGAAGATACAAGGTGTTCATTGCCCAGCCACTGAATTTCTCATTAGAGTAGGCATACATGTTGGTAGGCACAAAGCTCAGATCTGTAGACAGCAGAGTAAGAAATATTATAATGAACAAAGCCAAGTAGGAGCCTCCAATTCTTTACCTTTTTCCCTCTCCAAAACAGTAAATCAAAACATGAGGCCTGTACTACCTGATAATGTAGCTTGCTTGTGCCTTCTGTCATACCATATCATGAGGTTTGTTATTACAGGCCTTGTTTCATAGCATATAATGGGGAAAATGGCAGAAATTGGTGACATATTTAAAGACTTAAAAATGCAAGTTGGTAGTCATCCTTATTTCAATTTAATTTACCAATTTGGTTCCTGAAAAAAACAAAACAAACAAAAAAAAAACAAAAAAAAACAGATGGATTCTGGATAATGACAGTGAAATATCTTAATTAGCCAAGCCGTAATCACAGGTACTGTGGCAGATATGGTATTTCTGCAGGTGCACATTTGCATTTTCAGGGGCAGAGTATGGAGCTATTTAGTTAGCAAATGAGTTATTTTACATTCACATTAGAAAAGTGGATTTTATTTATTTTCAACAAACAAACATGCAAACAAGTAGTTGTTCTCTAGGGTTATGTTAATTATTTCACCTTCGCTGGTAATATGGTTCAAAGAGATCTGGACCTGTTTGACATTTTGTAGAATTTCATACTAATCCATTCTACCGATGTCATCATGATTAGTGGAGCAAGAAAAGGCTACCCCATTGATGACCTTGGTAAGGCATGTGAAATCCAGATCGTGGAAGGAAAACTTTAGAAAATGAAAAGACTACATTAGGAAAACTTTTTGTGTTTGTGTGCCAATGGCCTGGGACATACTGGTCATCCCCTCCATAATAAAGGAAAATATATTGCATTTATTGAAGATGCCAAAACCAATAAGGGACAATAATGCCTAGTAGTCCTCTTCTGCATATTCTACTCCTAGGAATACTGCTCTGACTAATGCACATCGTGACAGAAAACTCTCCTAGCTTTAAATGAAGTCCAGAGAAGAAAGGGATGTGTAGAATGTTCAGTTTGTGATGCAAGCAGCCCTGCAGCTTGGAACATACAATCAGTAGACTCTGTGCCACAGAATGTTAGAGGTATAATACTATATTATGGTGGTAGAGGTGGTAAAATACACTCTTTAGAGTTTATGAAGTGCCCCAATGGGAAAATTAGAAACCCGAACCATATCTTTATCCAGCAGTTTAAAGAAATGCATATCTTTTAGGAAAATACCTCTTGGCTTGCCATTGGGCACCTGTAGCGACAGAACACCTCATAATTGACCATGTGTCCGGAAGAGTCATAAGTTGGGTTCTATAAAATTCAACAAGTCAGAGACAGACCCAGAAATAACCAATTTTAAGATGGACATAGGTTAGCCAGGATTGACTACAAGCAGGAACTGAAGGCACAAGCAAGCAACATCATCAGATTATACGGGCCTCATGTCATCCACCACTATTGCACAGCTCAGTTCAGACATATGGTAGTAAAAATTCCTGACTGGTTGGCTGATACTTTGATGCAAGCAAAAACAGGTTAATGACCACAGTAGAATTCCACTCAATGAAGATCTTGAAAGAAAGTAGTGAGAAAAAAAATCTTCCTCATGGTCAAAGCATCAGCTTGTAGACCTATTCATACACTTTGGATGAAAAGAGGAGTGGAGCATAGTTCAAATATACACTCATGAGAAGTTGTTCATGGCCTGGCTGTCAAGAACAGGCAAACAGAAAGACAGGAAGGTTGGTGCGATAGGCAGAACAATAGTCTTTCAGAGGTCCACATCCTAGTCCTTGGAAACTGTAACTATGTTAGCTTACATGACTAGGATAATTTACAGATATGATTAAAGTTAACAACCTTGAGATGGGGAGATTATCCTGGACTATCCCAGTGGACCCAATCTAATCATTTGAGTTTGTATAAGTGGAGAATCTTTCCCAGCTGTGTTCAGAGAACTAAAGAAATAACAGCATGAGAACAATTTGGACCAAAATTGCTGTCTTATTTTTTTAATACTTTAAGTTCTAGGGTACATGTGCACAACGTGCAGGTTTGTTACATATGTATGCATGTGCCATGTTGGTGTGCTGCACACATTAACTTGTCATTTACATTAGGTATATCTCCTGCTATCCCTCCCCCCTCCCCCCTCCCCTCCACTCCACAAAGTCTGTGAATTTCTGTTATGGCAGCCTAACCTGACTAGGATACTGGGTTGGTAATTTTGTTTTACCATTAAGTGTGTTTAGATGTTGCATTTTTTTCTGGCTTTTATTATCTTTGAGGAGAAACCAGGCCTAATTCATATTAGTATTCTTCTTATGACTTTATTTAACAATTTTTACTTTAATTAATATCTTTGCTTTTCTATAGTTTGATTAGGATTTGTCTATTGAATTGTGCTGAGCTTTTGGATTTCTAAATTTATTTTATTCACCAAATTTGCAAGATTTAAGGCTCTTTTTCCTCAGTTTGTTTTGTTTTGTTTTGTGGGCTTTTTTTCTTCTTTCTCTAGCTCTTCTATCTCATCTCTTTTTTTGGACCCCTAATCCACTTATGGTAGACCACTCGATATTATCTTATAGGTCACTATATCTTTTTTATTTATTTTTTCTCTTTATATAAGATAACTTTTATTAATCTCTTCGCATTCACTAAACTTTCTTCTGCTGTCTTCAATGTGCAGTTTAACTGTTCTAGTACACTGAATTCATTTCAGATATTGGAATTTTCAATTATGAGATACTTATTTAGTTTTATATTTTTGTTTTCACTTCATAATTGAGATTCACTGTTTGTTCACTTATTATGATAGTATTTTCCTTTATATTCTTGCCCATATTAGTACTGGTTTATTTAATGTTTCTGATTGTTAAGTCTCACATTACCAGGTCTTATTCTATTACTTGTTGTTCTTTTCTCCCCCAAATATGGCTCACATTTTCCTGTTTCTTCTTATGTGTAGTAATTTTGGATTATATACTGAACAATGTAGATAATGCAATCCAGAGGCTTTCAGTTAGGTTTTCATTCTCTGAAGTGTGTTGGCTGCTTTCTTTTTTCAGCAAGCAATTACATTATTGGTTGATACTTCTGAAATCATGAAGGCTTGGTTTTGCATTTTGATAGACTCCATCTATGTAAAGACTGAGGTTTTTACCAAGCACTCTAACTTGACTTCATTAATACTGTCTTTGAACTGTTGACCTCAACTTACCCTCCCACCTCAGCCTCTCAAAGTGCTGGAACTGCAGGTGTGATCCACTGTGCCCATCCTATTCAACAAATGGTGATGGGATAACTGGCTAGCCATATACAGAAAAATAAAACTAGACTGTTACTTTTCACTATACACAAAAATTAACCCAAGATAGATTAGAGACTTATTAGAGACCTCAAACTATAGAAAACCTAGGAAATGCCCTTCTCAACATTGGCCTTGGCAGATATTATGCCCAGGTCTCCAGAGCAATCACAACAAAAATAAAAATTCACAAGTGAGACATAATTACACAAAAGATCTTCTATACAGCAAAAGAAGCTATCAACAGAGTAGACAGACAACCTATAAAATTGGAGATAATATTCACAAACTATGTGTCCAACAAAGATCAAATATCCAGAATCTATAAGAAATTTAAACAAATCAACAAGCAACAACAAACTCCATTAAACGTGGCCAAAATACATGAACAGACACTTCTCAAAAGAAGACATATAAGCAACCAACAAACTTATGAAAACAATACTTATCAACAGTAACCATCAGAGAAATGAAAATCAAAACCACAATAAATACTATCTCACACCAGACAGAATGGATATTATTAAAATGTCAACAAATAACAGATGCTGGCAAGGCTGCTGAGAAAGGGAATGCCTATACATTGTTGGTGAGAATGTAAATTAGTTCAGTCACTGTGGAGAGCAGTTTGAAGATTTCTCCAAGAACCTAAAACAGAGCTACCACTTGATCCATCAATATCATTTCTGGGTATATATTCAAAGAAATATAGATCGTCATACCCAAAAGACACATGCACTTGTATGTTAATCACTGTGCTATTTACAATAACAAAGACATGTAATTAACCTAGATGCTCATCAATGGTGTATTGCATGAAGAAAATATGTGGCATATATATACCATGAAATCCTTCACAGCCATAAAAAGAATACAATCATGTCCTCTGCAAAAAGGGTGGATCTGGAGGCTGTAATCCTAAGTGAATTAATCCAGGAACAAAAGACCAAATACTGAATATTTGAACTTATAAGTGAGAGCTAAGCATTGAGCACCAATGAACATAAACATAGAAACAATAGACCCTATGGAATACAGAGTGGGGAGGGTGAGAAGGGAGCCTGGTTTGAAAAACTACTATTGGGCACTATGCTCACTACCCGCATCCAACATGTCCATGCAACAATTTTACACATGTACCTCCTGTACCAAAAATAATAGCTGAACTTAAAAAAGATAATAATAATAAATAGCAATAACAACAACTCTCTCTCTTGCATTGAGCAAAAATTGAAATCTCTGCACAGTTCTCTCAGCCATCCAGTTGTGTGCATTTTTTTTTTTTTTTGAGCTGCTTGGAGTCTTCCCATGCCTGCATAGTTTGGGAGTCAGTCAATGATTCAAAGACAATTTTGATGCAGATACTTCACCTGTTGTGGCAGCCACAAATTCAGCCCATCAGGCCAAAAATCTTTCTGCTTAGGTTCTATTTACATCACACCAAACAGACCAGTGAGTTCCCTCAATATAAAAAACATATAAGAATCGATTTTTTCCAGTATGCTTTTTTCAAGTGTCGAATTTTTCCAACTTCTACCTGCTTTTATTCATTCTCCAGAGATTTCAAATAGTAATTAAAAATTTATTTTCAGATTTATTTTATAATTGTTATTTGCAGGAGGTCAATTCAATAAAAGCCACTTTATCATTTTTAAAACTAGAACACCTACACTAATTCTTATTTGCATAAAAATTTTTATTAACACTTCAAACACACATTTATGGTGATATAGCCTGGATGTGTGTCCCTGCCCAAATCTCATATTGAAATGTAATCCCCAATGTTGGAGGTGGGGCCTGCTGGGAAGTGATTGCATTATGGGGCAGATTTCTCAGGAATGTCTTAACACCGTCCCACTTGGTACTGTCTTTGGGATAGGGAGTGAATCCTCGTGTGATATAATTGTTTAAAAGTGTGCAGCATCTCCCTCCTTGCTCTCTTTCTCCTCCTCTGGCCATGTGACGTGCCCACTCTCCCTTCACCTTTCACCATGATTGTAGTTTCTGAGGCCTCTCCAGAAGCTGAGCAGATGCCAGCATCATGCGTCTTGTACAGCCTGCAGAACCATGAGCCATTAAGCTTATTTTCTTTATCAATTACCTAGTCTCAGGTGTTTCTTTATATCAGTATGAGAATGCACTAACACATTTAAAATGTCACATATTCCAGGCACTAAGATAAACTAGTATTTTGGTTCTTAGATAAGGTAGACACAGCAGCAGCTCCCAAGGAGCTTATATATAATGAGAAAGATAAATCTATGAAAAGATAATTAAAATATGATAAATGTTATAAAGAGTGAGAAATGACATCAGATGTCAGTACCTAATATAATATGATAGGTCAGAAAACTATGTTCTCAGCAGGTTAATTTCAAACTGAATGTAAGCTGTGACAAGTTAAAGTGTATGTGGCAAGTGGAAGGGAGATGTTTCTAAGTGGAGGAGGCAAAATGCGTGCAGATTTTATATGTAAAGTAGAATAAAAAAATTCAAAGAAAAGTGGGAAAAAAACATAATTTGGTTAGAGTGATAAGACTGAGGTTGATAATGGAATGAAATAGACCTGAGGATAGAAAAAAAGAGGAGAATTTATTTTCTTCAGAGGTAAAATAATTGCTCTGATTTGACTCACTTATTACTCTATTAGTCATCCATTACTTATGAAAATATCATGAAACTTTTGCACATTGATTTTGTATCCTGAGACTTTACTGCAGTTGCTTATCAGCTTAAGGAGATTCCAGACACTTCTCAAAAGAAGACATTGATGCAGCCAACAGACACATGAAAAAATGCTCATCATCACTGATCATCAGAGAAATGCAAATCAAAACAACAATGAGATACCATCTCACACCAGTTAGAATGGCGATCATTAAAAAGTCAGGAGACAACAGGTGCTGGAGAGGATGTGGAGAAATAAACACTTTTACACTGTTGGTGGGACTGTAAACTAGTTCAACCATTGTGGAAGACAGTGTGGCGATTCCTCGAGCATCTAGAACTAGACATACCATTTGACCCAGCCATCCCATTACTGGGTATATACCCAAAAGATTATAAATCATGCTGCTATAAAGACACATGCACACGCATGTTTATTGTGGCACTATTAACAATAGCAAAGACTTGGAACCAACCCAAATGTCCATCAATGATAGACTGGATTAAGAAAATGTGGCACGTGTATACCATGGACTACTATGCAGCCATAAAAAAGGGTGAGTTCATGTCCTTTGTAGGGATATGGATGAAGCTGGAAACCATCATTCTCAGCAAACTATCGCAAAGACAAAAAACCGAACATCGCATGTACTCACTCATAGGTGAGAATTGAACAATGGGAACACTTGGACCCAGGGTGGGGAACATCACACACCGGGGCCTGTCGTGGGGTTGGGGGAGGGGGGAGGGATAGCATTAGGAGATATACCTAATGTAAATGACGAGTTAATGGGTGCAGCACACCAACATGGCACATGTATACATATGTAACAAACCTACATGTTGTGCACATGAACCCTAAAACTTAAAGTATAATAATAATAAAAAAAGAAAATATCATGAAACTGAATAAAATACTTGACCAAATGACAACTTTAAGTTATCTGTGAGATGACAATGAGAATATATAGCATTTTAAAATTTATGATATTATCAGATATTCTTCTGAGTGTACTGTATGTATGCATATTAACTTGTTCAATCTGTATCACCCTCTAAGGATGTAACATTATTATTCCAAATTTGAAGTTAAAGAAACTGAGATTTTAAGTAATCAAGTTCATTGGCATAATTGAAAGGTTAAAATAAGAAAAGTCATTTCAAAATTAAAATATTGTCAAATAACAAAATCAATACAAACTTGATGTTTTTTTTCTGTTGAATGCATTTCATACAAAGTAGACTTAATACAAGAAATTTTTTATGCAGGTTTTGAAAGACTGAACATTTTTAGGACAAGTACCAAGATTTGAACCCTATTAGTCTGGCTGACTTTCAGTGTGTGAACTTATACCTACGTCACCACAGCTACCTTTTATGTGTTTGGTTTACCACTTCTTTTAAAAAAAATTAAATTATATTAAATTTAAATACTATTTTCAAATGCTTACTTTTTACTTGAGAATGACTCTGCTCTTTGATTTCTTGCATTTTTCTGGAAACTCTCCCCAAATTAAAATGACAACTCTATATTTTCCAAAATCATTGTTTTCCTGATTTCAAATTTGAATAATCCTAAACTACTTCTGCTGCCCACCAAGGAACTTAAAATTAATAGCTAATTACTTTGCAATAGCACCTGCTGATTACATATGAACGCTGTGATGCAAGACACCAACAAGTGCTTATTAAGAACACTGCCAAAGGTTTTGGCTTGTTCTTTTTAATATTTTTTTTGACTCTATATCTTCATTCTTCCAAGTAGAAACCCTATACTCTATTAAAATTCACCAATAATTAAAAGAACATAGCTTTCATCTCATAAAAATGACAATGATTTTTAGATAAATTTATTTATCTATATTACCATTTTTTAATGAGATCCAATGTTCTTTCTAAACAATCACTGCACGCAAATAATTGAGTGGGTTTTTTGTTTTCATTGCTGTTAACAGGCCTCTCAAGCTGCATTGCCATTTTGTGTGCACTGCTTTCCAGCAGCTTTCCTATATGCCTGTACTGTTTGTTTATACTCTCCCTTTGTGGCTTGTCCTGATTTACCATATCAGGCTCAATCCTATTTTTCTATTGAGTTATTTAGTTCTGGACTAAGCCAATTTGATGCCTTGATTTCTTTTTACACTTTCTACATAATTAGCTAATTTTCCCATGTGCCTGTGAAAGTGGCTGCTTAAGGAACATGAAGTGTACTTGAATTTCTCCAGCTGTTAATCTATTCTTATTATTTTAAGGTTAATATAAAATTTGTCTAAGTTCATTTTGTTCTTATTTTTTCCTTTTTGTTAAGCTGGTAGATTGTTATCATTTCTTTCTTTGTTCCTAAATAATAGATTTAGAACTCTATGTATGTGATACTTATTTATTTCTGCCCCAATCACTCTTTTAAAATCTGTTCTGTGCTTGAGACAAAAACAGGAAAACTGCATGTCCCCAACATTGTTACTACCTAGTTTCTTATTCGGTTCAGGATGGGAGGCACTGAGGAAAGATTGAAGCAAATAATGAAGCAAGAATGTACTTGCTTCTTTTCCACCTCTGGAAGACATCCCCTAGAAGCTAAAGATAGGTACAGCTGCAGTCTGGGCTCCCATGGGCACTCCAAAAATCACCATCCCATGTTTCCCTAAGGGTCAGTAGATAGTTCCTCATGGCATCTGAGGACATGTGTGGTCCCCTCATCTAAGCAACTATATTCTGAAAGCACCAATCCTTTTATTTTTCCTCTTGTTATAGGGTTTGTAGCTATATCTTCATTACCACTTTCTCCACTTAAAAAGAAAAAAAAATAAGCCTTTCATAATCTGAGTCAATAATTGATTCCTTTCATTAAATCTACTTTGTTTAAAATGCCTCTGGTAGTAGAATTTAAAGTTCACTTTGATATTTTTTTGTTTTTACATTTCACTTTTATTGATTTTATTATCTTGAAATATTTTCATTCTGAATTTTTTTTCTCATTGTTACCTTTCAATTATGCCCATGAATATTTATTAATGATTTTTCTACCTGGAATTAGAAACGTTGGCATGTTGCATGAATGAGAATAGTAAAAATATAATAATTTAAAAAATAACCGCCCTTTTTTAGAGAATACTATATGCTAAGTATAATCTCTTTTTAGAAATATTATTCCATTTAATCTTTATAACAACCTTGTGCAATTATTATTTCTCAGTGTTAAGGACAGAGGAATTGTGGTCAGAAGTAAAGTGAATTAAGTTCACAGCACTAAGGATTGGTAGAAACTGCTTTTAACCACTGATGTGTTCACTTGAACCCTCTGCTTTTCACCACCAGGAGGAAATGCTAGCAGACTTGCAACTTCCAACCAATAATTGTTAAGCCTCCAATAAGACACAAGCATATCCTCATGCTTCTATTTCAGAGTATGGCCTTTTAAGTAGCATTTTGAAATACTAACATGTTCCAATGAAAGCTTGAAATTTGTAACATCAATTTTCTCAGACACATTTCTACTTTAGATAAAAATGGTAAAACTTAAGCATGCAAATGAAATTTAATATTACATTATCACAGCTCAAGAATTATGATATGAAATTTTAAAAATATGAAACTCTTACCCTCAAATTTCTGAACCACTTCTGTGGAACATTGTTTGTTTAATTTAGAAGGCATTTTTAAATGTTTAAACATTTATCAACAAAATAAACATTTACATTACAATACAGCCAGGATAAACATTCCAAATAATTGAGGGGTTAAACAGATGAAGAGTGGTTTAAATGTAATAGTAAGCATTTTATTTAATTTACAAGCATTATAGACTTATTGAAAATAGAATTTTTAGAAATATTTTAAGGATTAGTTTAAACAAATTGCGAAAAGAGAATTTTAATAATTTAAAAATCCATATGCATATATAAAAAAATTGCCAATATACATTGAAGTGAAAAATTCTACAAGTAAACTATAAATGGTAGCCTGTAATGCAATTGCATTAGGTCACTTTTCTACAGTTCTAAGCAGTCTTGATTTTCTATTAACTGTGTAAGAAGACTTTACATTCAAAACAAGTAAAAGGTAGGGTTATAATCTTCTAGAAATAAGGAGGTGCAATTAGTTTAGAAGTATATTTAAAAGTGTACTTAAGTATAGTAAAGTTCTCTGTTATGATCAGAATTAGTAGAGAAGCAGCAATTACTGGAATATAAATGGTAGCTTTTTGTGTATTGTAATAGACCAATAATTTGCCCTTAATTTTGACGTTTATAAAATGATGGAATATAAAAATTACTCCCACATTATTCCACATTGGATCAAAAATTAAAAGCATAAAACTTTACGTGATGGCCAATAACTAATTTATTGATGATTTTTACTTAAAAAAAAACAAAATATTGATCTGGAGTGCCTAAATATTTGATGCCATAAATCCAAAGAAACATCAGTGAATCAGATTAGTTTATACCAAGACTTTTCTCTAGTTTTCCATTCAGCTCTTTGGGGAGCTGTATGTATTCATTGGAGTTACTAATATACTATTCCAAAGGACAGGTGTAATGTTTCAGTGTTCCTTCATTCATTGCTAAAGTTAATTCCTTATTTGCAACTGGATAATATTTATACATTATGAAAATCTGGCTCAATAAATATTAGAGGATTGAGAATATTTACTTCCTAATATAAGTATTAACTCCAAAGTATAATATGCTCTCTACAAAGTCTTCACACTATTTTATTTCTCCTCTCTTTCTCTGCTGTAGGTAGGAACATAAGCAAAGTTCAGTCATAACTTACCATGTCCCCAGGTTAACGGGAAAATCAATAGATACAACTAATGTTAAGAACATTTAAATGCAGCCACTACCTTTGATAGGATTCTTACACAATATCTACACCAAAAAATACTTGAATACAATCGTGTGTTGCTTAATGACAGAGATATGTTCTGATAAATGTGTTATTAGGTGATTTTATCAAAGTGTGAACATCATAGAGCACATTTATGCATACCTAGATGGTATAGTGTACTACATACCTAGGCTATATGGTGTAGCCTATTGCTCTTAGGCTACAAACCTGTACAGCATGTTACTGTGCTGAATGCTATAGGCAATTGTAACCCAATGGTAAGTATTTGTGTATCTAAACATATAAAAAGTATTATGTTGTGCTAGGATGTTACAATGGCTACAGCATCAGTAAGTGATAGGAAGTTTTCAGCTCCATTATAATCTTATGAGACCACCGTGGCATATGTGGTCCATCATTGGCCAAAAGATGGTTATGAGGCACATGACTGTATTAATATAAATCCCAAAAGCTAGCTTATATTTTACCAAATTAAACATACATAATACAGCACATTGTAGAGTTTACAATTTCTGATACACAGGGAGTTGGCAACAGTGAACTGGCCAGAGGTTTTGAAGGCAGTGTTTATTGACTTTTCTCCTCATCCTTAGTGTGTATTATCCATCCACACTTTGCCATGTAAAAATATAGTACTTGTCTCTCAGGCTCAACTATTAATTCTTAAAATATGTCTAACTTTGTTGCTACGACAAAGACATTAATCTATCCTTCTTTTCCCTTCTCTCTCTATTTTCCAAAATGCAAAACTAAAGTCATTAATTTCTCTATCTAAACAGCAGGCTTTATACCAGGAAAACGACCAAACAAACAAATAAGCAAAAAACAAACAACAAACCACGAGAAACAGAAACACTTGAGTAATAAGACAACTTCAAAGATGCATTGGGGAAAATGAGAAGAAAAGTTACCAGATTCAACCATAAGTTTTGAAAATTCATAAATAACTCCTCACTCACAGTGATGCATGTCGCCAGCATTGACGGCTTCCTTCCACTGACCTCCACAAAGGATATCAAAAAGTCTACTAATATGTGTCTATACATCTGCTCTGTATGAAAGTTGGCGATCAGAAAAGTAACACCATTTCACTCACTAGTTTCCTTCAAAAGATAAAGAAGTTCTCTGCTGGCATCATCACGATGCATGCATTGCTACCGGGTCAATCTTCATCTTCTGCAATAGTGTGATCACTATTGACACCTGAATTGCTTCTCAAGTTATACCTTCACTTTTTTCCAGGGGTACGATTCTTAGCAGGAGGCTACTGTTGTGACTACCACTTCCCCAGGATTTAATTTATCTGTATAGTGGTCCAGCAGAGTATGGGTTGACGAATCCTGCATACAGCCTTCACAGATAATTGCTGCCTAACACCTGTTCGCTAATACATTTGCTGTCAATTCTTGACATTTCTCCTTGAACTTCCCATTTACACATTATGCTCGAGATTAGTATGGTTCTTGAGCCTCAGAAAAGTACACACAGTGCTTCTATCCTTTTCCCTTAAAACCAGGTTTGTTTTCATGGAGCCTTATCATACTAGATTTATTTAGGCACTTGACCTAAATCTTGCCTCCTTCTGGCTTGTCATGTATTGCCTTTCTAATGTCTCCAATTTTCAATATATAAGATAAGAATTTTAATTACTACTATCAAGACATTTTTCACCTTTAAAATTGCTCCATATTTCTGTAAACATTTTCATATATATTTCCTCTGCTACCTTTACCATCTCTCTGCTTATCTTCACTTCATTCCACTCTTTCTTCCTTTTTATCTTACTGAATAGTGCATATTCTGCACATTGGTTTTTATTCCATTCTCTGGCAGTACATTCTTCTTCATTTCTGTTGAAGGGGTCAGGAAACATTTTCTATAAAGGACCAGATAATACATATTTTAGGTTTTGCAAGCCATGCCAAATAGTCTATGTCACAAATCTTCAACTTTGCCTGTGAGTGCAAAATTAGCCACAGACAGTATTTAAATGGATGACCATGGCTGTGTTCCAGTAAAACTTTATTTACAAACATAGATGACAAATTGTAGTTTCCTGGCCCGTACTCTATACCATATGCTTCTATTTGAAGGGGAAGAATAAATACACTTTCAGGATATTTGATTAGTGTAATGAAACATTACTAGAACACCAATCACGTTTTTCCCCAATGAACAAAATCCTCTCTTTGCTAGGACTTTTTGGATTCTTCTTTAAAATAAACAAACTAAAACAAGGACAGCAACAAAAATAAATGTTCAGTTGTATAACAGGGATCAAAGTAATCATAGTTCAAGTTCATTAAAGTTCCATAATGACCTGCAACCATCATACAATCGTGGAAAAAGAACATGTGACATCTAATTTTTCAATGGGAAAAATAAATCTGTCAAACAATTGCTCTGGTAACACCAGTTCTGTATCCAAAGCATCATTATCTCTTGAAAAATTTATTTAAGTATGAAAATAATCTTTTATTCTTCCACACGCTATTTTTTCCTATTTATTTGTTTGCCTAATTGCTACCTTGCTGGCTTTCAATTTCTCCACCATCATTGTACTGACATTTAAGCAGCAGCAGTCTTCCAAGACTTAAAGGGCTTTTGAATTACTCTGCATTTAAAGAGTGATGGTAGGTAAATCTTACAAGGAAGAAAAACAAGCAAAACAAAACAAAACAATCACCTCACACTGAAACCAATTCCCCCAATCTATTTATTTCTTTATTTATTTAGAACAAAGATTAATTCACATGATATCATGATTAGATTTATGCTGACAATTTATAGAAGCTATCTACCTTCTCCATATTTGCTATTTGGTTTAGTGTGTAGTTAAATGCTATAAATGCTACCAAATTTAAAAGGTAGGAAATAGTAGTTTATGAATAACAGCTGTATTGGCTGGCTTTTATACTAAATTAAATAAAAATTCCTCAAAGTAGATTTGTTTTTCCAATTCTGTACTCCAAGTGCCTTATACATAGTAGCATTCAGAATGTATTAATTGAAGTAATAAGTCAAAAACTTTATAGAATAAATTTTTATTAAATATGCATCTCCCTTGATGTAGTTTGTGATTGTATAATATAATCTGAAGACTCTTGCTAACTTTCTCCACCCTATTGCATAAAAGTAAACAATGATGCCATCTTACTATTCCACATGAGTTACATATCCAGTTATTAGTAGAGATGCTATTCTTTTGAGTGTTATGTGAAGAAACTAAGAGCATCTTCTACAGAGTTAACTGATAAATTGCACAGGTACTTTCTAGAAGTAAAGAAGATTTCAGGCTAGTATTTTATATCCAGATTATTATGTAACACTATATGTCACAGTAATTCAATATTCTTTAAAAATGAAAACCCTTAATTGAGTAGAGATAAATTTTACTCTAGATATAGAAAGGAGAGCAGCAGTGACAAATCCTGGGTAGCTGCTATTCATGGCGTGCCTCAGAGTAATTTAAGAATGACTGGAGTAATACAAATTAAAAAGAGATACCAAAATCTTTTCACTACAAAACGTTTCCTGTGATGTGATGGTTTTATCCAATTAATAATATTATTAAGGAAACCTGGGAGAATTTTAAGTAAATCCCAATGTACAGATATTGAAGTTCAGGAAATCACTAATTTAGATCTACTCTTATTTGTGTTTCAAAGTTTTAGGTATACTTTTAAGAAAATATCTTGATATTTGGTCTGAAGGGTAGGGCTTTTTAGAGGAAATTTAGTATTCTAACAAGACTTTTTTTAGAGGAAATTTAGTATTCTAACAAGACATTTGTCTTTGTTTAAGGTCATCCTTACAACTTTGAAGAGAGAACATGCTGACAATTTATGAAGAAAATGTTGTCTAACTACCCATAGAATAGGGCAAACTTACATTACCTGTCAAAGCTACACTGAGAAATGGCAGGAAAAGACAACAGTACAGAGAGTGTATCTATACTCTTGTAATTATTTTCCCTTATGCTGAATATGCCACTAGAGAGTTAGAAAGAATCAGACTACTTCCCTGAATGGAAAATTAACAATGATGACTCTAACAAAGATGTGTAGGTTGCTATTTCAATTATTTTGAAAAAAAACCATAGTCTTAAGGTATATCAATTTATTCATTAATCACATAATCTAATTGGAAAAAATGCACTGAAGCACATCTTCAGTATAAGGACAGTTATTACAAATGCCCAGAACAGTATTTGGATTGCTATAAATGACCAATAAATAAATTTGATTTAATTGAACAACTGAATCTACTTAAAATTGAATGGGTTGCCTTGAGTGTTGGTAAGGTTTTTTGTTACTACAATTATCTTATTATTGGAGGTATTAACAGAAATTCTGGGTGACTATCTTTAATGTATGAAACGTAAAAAATTCCTTCACTGAGTGTGAATTTGAACTAGATTGCCTGCCCAGTCATTTCTTATTCTGAGAATTGCAGTGCTAGTAAGAGCCTAATAATTATGATGACTCATGTAAAGTTAATCAGATGAGATATTATGCTCTGAATATACGGACAGAATGATAATACAGAGAGAATGTCTGTGTACATATATGTACCCATTTTACTTATGATGACATTAATATCTATATAGTTAAGCATAACTTTCATATACCATTAGATAGTAAAGAATAGATAATTAAGTTCACTTACAGATTACTAAAAACTGACTCTCTATGAATCAAAACTATTTGAATTAGATGATTCCTTAGAAAGCACGTATTCCAATTGTGTAATCTTATGATGGAGGAAATGATGTGCAGAGGACATGTGCCATGTTCAAGTCTCCACTCTAATACTGACCACTGGTTCAGTGCTATTTCCTTTTTAAATAGTATTTTACTAATATGTCCAATACATTTTTATTACCTGCTCTCGATTCTGTGTTTTGGATTTTGAATGAGTAGATCTTTTCATTTTTGGAAACCACATTTTTCACTTAAAATATCATATACTGTCATAAGTATATTTTTATTTTGATGAAATGAAGTAAGAGGAAATAGTGAATAAATAAAAAGGATTATTATTCATAAGTTTAAATAAATGGAAAATGAATATCCAATAATAACCTTGAGCTACTTGAATTCAGCTGTATAAGAGGCCAACTTGCAGATTACAAACGTGACTAGATTCAGCAAGTTTGCAGGTATGAAAAATTTTAATGATTACATGGCAATGGAAGAAATGTTAACATCCATTAAAATTATGTGTGAAACAAATTCTAATAGCTAAATGGACATTGAAATTAAGGTACAACAAATCACAATTCCTCAAAACCAATGCAGGAAAAGAAGAAATATTAATTCATTAAGCATCAAGTTGTGAATATTGCCAGACCAAACATGAATGGAATCTCTTATATCTACTGCCTAAATTAACCAAACAAGGTTAGCTGTGTATCTAATAAGGTTTCACAAATCTTATTGAAGTTTATTATATTGGAAAGTGACATTTCAAGGTTGTAACAATTTGGAACTGACTCAACCCTTTGATCTCATCTGTGACTTATCTGGATTCCACACTATCTTTAGCTTGACTATATTACAGATATCCTGATGATCTCTTAACCTTCCCTAGTCAGGAAGAATTTTCTCTTAAACTTTTAAAAATTTTGTCACAAAGGCATCTCTCTCTCTCTCTCTCTCTCTCTCTCTCTCTCTCTCTCTTTGGTTTATTTGTATATGAGATGGACTGACATAGCATGCTAAAGATCAGTCACAAGAGGCAGTGGTATAAGTGGTTGCCAAATCAGCATCAAAATGAAGTACAGCTATGTTAACAAACACAAAAGAAGTAAAACCATACTGAGATTTATATGTAAAAACTGAAACAAACCAATGAGGAATTGAATAGAAAGTGTTCCTAGAGGAATAATTCTAACTTACATTTATGTACTTTTTGCAGCATTTATTTATTGCCTCTGGGGCTCCACTTCCCAACAGGTATGTGACTCCAAAGCATAGTTAGTGGGTCAAGGCTATTTAAAGGGCTAAGGCTGACCAACACCTGCTGCTTGCCACTTCAAATTCTGCTGATTGTGGCTACTGTAGTGCGAAGCTCCATGCACATTTAAACCAATGTTGCAGAGATGCAACCTCATCTCAGGCCTCAGTGTGTGCCTCTCCCTTCTTGTTGCAGGCCCTCTCTCAAGTGCCCCTGAGCAGCATGAAAATCCACTAAGTACCCATGACATGTGCAATTTGGAAGTGGGTGCTCCTAGCCCATGGGGATACTCTTGACCAATGGAGAGCAGAAGCCAATAAATAAACAAGTACTACCTCCTTTTGTACACCAGGTGGAAAGTTTGTGCCTTGGCCTCAGTAGCTCTCAGTAGTGGCCATCATGACAAAATGCATCCTTCTTTCTGTGTCCATCATTTCCACTCCCTGTTTTCACTTTCCAAATAAACTATCTCTATCTGCAACTCTTTTTCTCGGGGTCTACTTTGGGGTATCCCAGTCTAAGACAGCCAATATTTATCCCCCTACATCCTTAAGTGTAGTTAAGTTGTTCTGCAGTTGACTAGAGCCCCCTTGTCAATCATCTACTGATGAAAGCAGACCCAACTCTTTACACCAGTGTACTGTGTAGACAATATAATTTTTCAAGCATACTATGTGTATTAGTTTGTTTTCAAGCTGCTGATAAAGACATATCCAAGACTGGGTAATTTACAAAGAAAAAAGAGGTTTAACGGACTCACAGTCCTAAGTGGCTGGGGAGGCCTCACAATCATGGCAGAAGGTAAAAAGCACATCTCACATGGTGGCAGGCAAGAGAGAATGAGAGCCAAGCAAAAGGGGGAACCCCTTATAAAACCATCAGATCTCATGAGACTTAGTTCCACAAGAACAGTATGAGGGAAACTGCCCCTATGATTCAGTTATCTCCCACCAGGTTCCTCCCATAACATGTGGAAATTATGGGAACTACAATTCAAGATGAGATTTGGGTGGGAAAACAACCAAACCATATCACCATGACATGAAAAGTTTCAAAGTTTCTGATAAACTAAACATATGATGACTTGCTATTATTTATAGAACTCATAATTTACAAATAACTAAGCAAACCACAATTTATATAATTTCATTTCTGAAAATAAAATGCTCTTGGTTATTATTCTATCCAATTAAATCCATTACTGATTTAGAGGGTGATGTGGCTAACAGAGTAAGAAAAAAATAAATTGAATGTACAAGGAGCATAATGACAAGGCATGAACGTGAACAAGGGCACAAACCACAGTGTAATTGTGAAACATTTTGGAGTTTAGCTGAAATGTGATTTAGTATTACCTAGTCATTACCATGTAGAAAAACTCATCTGTAGTTTTTGCACTGTATTTGCATCATATTTTAAATTGTATTTTAAAATGAAAACACTCATTATTCTTATGGGAAAAGAGCAAAACCCTATGGCATAACCACATTATACCTTTCTATCTTGCTTTCACTTTTTATATGAACTAATGGTTTGAAAAGGTGACTCTCAAATACTCTAGAACTGCTACTGACTTTCTTTAAAGTGATGTCTTCTGATACATGAAGTCCTATGAAAGTTTTCTTTCAATGTATGAGTTGTAGGACAATGCATTCATACTCTATGAAAGGATGACATTTTCACATAAGAAAGAGGTATACACATAGGTAGTTACCCCTTCCTATACCTATCAATAAATTTTAACTAAATATTTTTAAAATAGATATTTTTGGTTAAAAAAGCATATGAAAAGCACACAGTAGTTGTTTTTTGTTTAATTTATAAGATTTTATGAATAAATTTATAAATATTCACTTTTTTCTTCCCTTCCCCTTTTCCCCTGCATCATTTTAAAAACACTAGACTATAATCCTTTTGATCTAAATTATGTTGCCAATAGAAACATATATATGTCATTTTTCATTATATTTACAACCTGGTTTCCTATGACTCGTTCTGCTGTCTCTAGGATGGGTATATATATATATGCGTATTCACTTATAATTAAAGGTGAAAAAACATATTTAATGCAAATATCTGTTACAACAAGCAGTTTTCATAAAGATACAGTAAATAATTTAGACTTTTCAAGTGATATATACTATTTTGCAGCTACTCAACTCTGCTATTGCAGTATGAAAGCAGCCATAGATAATATATAAGCAAATAAGTGTACCTGTGTTCCAATAAAACTTTATTTACAGACCCTGAAATGTGAATTTTGCATAATTTTCACATATCAACATATGATCGTTTGATTTTTTTTTCAGCCGTTTACAAGTATAAAAATCATGGGCCATGCAAAAATTGGAGAAAGACAGAATTTGGTCCATGGGCCATAAGTTGTTGACTACTGTGCAATATGATAAATATAGATACAGATAGACACGCATTTGTGTGTGTGTGGCGGGGGGGAGAGAGAAAGGAACTAAAAATCTAGAAATAATACTATATTTTAATCACAGTTGCATTTCTAGTGAATTCCTATAGCTTAGTGCATTACCTAACATCTAACAAATACATAGTAATGTTTTGACTATATATAAAAGAAGGAAATAACAAACTGTTGTATTGTTAATTACATCAGTGTTTGCCAGGCACTGTGGCTCACTCCTGTAATCCCAGCACTTTGGGAGGCCGAGGTGGGTGAATCACCTTAGGTCGGGAGTTCGAGACCAGCCTGACCAACATGGAGAAACCCCATCTCTACTAAAAATATAAAATTAGCCGGGTGTGGTAGCGCATGCCTGTAATCTTGGCTACTCAGGAGGCTGAGGCAGGAGAATTGCTTGAACCCAGGAGGCGGAGGTTGCGGTGAGCCGACATGGTGCCATTGCACTCCAGCCTGGGCAACAAGAGTGAAACTCCATCTCAAAAAAAAAAAAAAAATCACTAAGCTAGAAAAGAAATTATTAGGTACAACTGTTAACAATAAGAAATTATTAGTAAAGAATCAAACCATTGAAGATAGCTAACTCTGTCAGAGTTGGTTTTTTTAGTTTTTTTTTTTTGTTTTTTTTTTTTTTTTGAGGTGGAGTCTTGCTCTGTCACCCAGACTGGGGTGCAGTGGCACAATCTCTGCTCACTGCAAGCTCCGCCTCCCGGGTCCACGCTATTCTCCTGCCTCAGCCTCCCAAATAGCTGAGACTACAGGCGCCCACCACCATGCCCAGCTAATTTTCTTGTGTTTTTAGTAGAGACGGGGTTTCACCCTGTTAGCCAGGATGGTTTCGATCTCCTGACCTCGTGATCTGCCGGTCTTGGCCTCCCAAAGTGCTGGGATTACAGGCATGAGCCACCGTGCCCGGCCCAGAGTTTTTAAATTAAAAGAAAAAAAAACATATTACTTTAACTTATCTACTTTTGTATACCATCTTTGACATGGCTTTTATACATCCAAATACTTGTATTTTGAGCATTTCTAAGTGAGCATTCTAGGATAAGAACATTTTTAATTGAGCATCTTTATATTTATGGCTAATATAAATCCAAACATTCTCTTCTTTTTGCATTTAAATTTTTTTCTCCATCTTACCTATTTGTTATCATTTATGTTTTTATTTTGGTTTATTTAGTTTTATTCTTTCAATATTCTTTTTGAACATGGTGACCCAAGCTGATTGCAATATTCTACATCGTAGTACAAACAACAAAAAGATATTAACTTAGTCTTTCTGCATTACTGTCATATAATTTCATTATTTTGTTTTATATTGAATTTTTTTCTCAGGAACATTCTATGCTTTACCTGCTACTTAGATAAAATCTCAAATATCCCAATATATTTATTACTAACATGCTTTCTTCAGCCTCTATATTTACTTTTTTAGGGTAATTTTTTTTTTAATTTTTGTTTCTCTTTTTGTTGTTTTGCTTTTTGGTGTCTAGGTATATGGTAACTAGTAAGCAATAGGAAATGATCCACAACATTCAGATGCGTGGTTAATTTCCTTTACTTTCTTTCTCAAATTAAATTCATTTCGGGGACCCACTGGCTAGAGTGGCAGAAAGCTTGATAGCTTTTCATCTTAAAGATTATTTCTTATAATCCATTTCCAAATAATTTTCACATTCCAAAAGATATCGAATCATTTCCATACGCAAGCAAAGATGGCTTTGGTTTTCAATCAACCCATGGCTACTCTTACATATAGCTGTCAAAATGTGTTGTTGTTGAGCACTAAACTTTCCTAGTCTGACTGCTGCAGTCAAGATCCTGATGCAGTTCTATCTTGCTTGACCTGATCTAGGCAGAGCCTAGAGCAATCTTTCACTGGAATCTTGAAACTGATTCCAGTGGCAACTCCACTCATTCCTTGTCAGAGTCAACTTAGATTGTTCCCTAAGTTCCCAGGGAGATATTCCTTAGGTTTCAGTTCTTTCAAATGCATATAATCCTCTAAGCTGCTTGGCACCTCAGAAGTGTATGTTTAGCTGTTCACCTTGCAAATTTACAGCAGTTACTGTTTTTATAAGCTTGGTTATCAAACTAAGGATTGGGAAGCTTTCTCTTTCTTATTATGAAACTCAAAAAGTGCTCTTTCACCTTGCCTCCTTTCCCAAAATGGTAGAGATCAACTGACTTCTTCGTGAGGCTGAACACTATCAAAGATTCCAAAAAGAGAAAAAGGTAACTTTCCAGGACTTATTTACTGCAAGTAGAAAAGAACAAAACAGCAGACAAGGAAGAAATATGCATAAATTGAGTTCTGTTTCACTAAATTGTCCACTATATTAATTGTTAATAAGTGATGATTGAATGATTGAAATTTCTAAAAGTAAAATTTACTGTTAGATTTCAGACCATCTATATTTAAGAATTAAATGTGAGACATTAAATATATCATATAAATTATATATTTAAATGTATATATAATATACATTATATATTTAATGTCTCACATTTAATTATATAATACGTGTGTATGTGTGTGTGTGTGTGTGTGTGTGTGTGTATATGGTGAATTTTACAAAACTACAGGGAAAAAATTTCCATGTCAGAAATTCCTACAGTTACAGTGAGAACTGCTGTGAAGCTAGACTGTTTTTCAGAAGTATACCTTGTGACAACTGCAGAAATGAAACTTTTTATTAGCATTCATAAAAGCTATAGAAAGTTTTAATTGAGTTGTATGACTTATTCCAAAGCACACTTATTTAAATATATCTGTCAATAAGTTACTAAAATAATTATGAATACATTTAATTAAAAAAAATTTAATTTTTATGGGCACATAGCATATGGATATATATATATGGGGTACATGAAATATTTTGATACAGGCATACAGTGCATAATAATCACATCAGGGTAACATCTAACTTTATAGACTTTTAATTCACATTTATAAGCTTCATACTTTTTTGTGCTTTCTTATATTCAGTTTCCATTCGGTGTATGATGAAGACTTATTCTTATTTCCTAACTTCCATTTTTTCACAGCTTTTTATTGATATGTATGTAAAACAGAAAAGTGCACAGAAATAAATATACAGCCCAATGCATTTTCCCAAAAATGGAGACATCTGTATAATTAGCACTCAAATTAAGAAGAAAAATTATCTGCTTCTTAGAAGAGGTCTCATGCTCCTTTCACTCAATAACCCCCCTCCCATTGAAGATGCTCACTTTCTTTACTTCTAACCTATAAAATAGTTTGAGCTGTTTTATACTTTATGTAAATAGAATCATGCAGTGTGATCATTTAAGTTTGGATTCTTTCATGTAATTTTATGTTTATAAAATCTATCTCTATTTTTTTCAGGTAGTGTTATATCATTTGTGCTCATTGTTGCATAGTATTCCACTTCATTAATATACCATAATTTATTTATTCATTCTCCTAATAATTGTACACAAATTAGCTGAAACTTTAGGGTTAATAAAAATAGTGCTGCTACAAATATTTCAATACATGTTATTTGGTGAATATACACAGGCATAACTATTGGGCGTATACCTAAGAATAAACTGCTAGGTCATATGGTATTTATTTGTCAATATTTAGCAGATACCACCAAACACTTTTTAAAAGTGTTTGTACCAACATATTTTCCTATCAGTATTGCATGAGAGTGTTGGTTGGCTCACATTATTTTCTGCTTTCCCATTACCTTGAAGTGCATGCAGTGGTATCAGGTTGTGGTCTTAATTTGCATTTATCTGAAGACTAATGAAATTGCACAATTTTTCGGATGTTCATTGGCCATTTGGATATCTGCTTTTATCAAGCTATCTATTCAAGTGTTTTGTGCATTTCTTTCCATCAAGTTATCTGTGTTTTTATTAATTTGTGGCTCTGTATATGTATATAATGAGTTCTTTGAAGGATGTATATGTTGTTAATATTTTCTCCCAATTAGTAGATTACCATTTTCTTTTCTTAATGGTGTATTTTGTTAAATGTAAGTTTATTAATTTTAATAAAGTTTATTTTAGCTTTCTTCCATCATTGTCATAAATTTTGTATTGTTCCAAAAAAGTCTGCTCTTCCAAGGTCACTGAGAGTTTCTCCTATATTTTCCATTAAAAGTTTTCTTGTTTTACTTGTTTAAAATTTCAGTCCATCCTAAAATAACTTCTGTGTATGATGTGAGGGTAGTGGGTCAAGAGACTTTCAAAAATACCATCTTCTCCTCTTTTTTCTGAGACAGAGTTTCACTCTTGTCGCCCAGGCTGGCATGCAATAGTGCGAACTTGACTCACTGAAACCTCCGCCTCCCAGGTTCAAGCAATTCTCCTGCCTCAGCCTCCCAAGTAGCTGGGATTACAGGTGCCCGCCACCAAGCCCAGCTAATTTTTGTATTTTTTTTTTTTTAGTATAGACGGGGTTTCACAATGTTGGCCAGGCTGGTCTCGAACTCTCGACCTCAGGTGATCTGCCCACTTTGGTCTCCCAAAGTGCTGGGATTACAGGCTTGAACCACTGCGCTCAGCCCATCTTCTCCTTTTTACACTGCATTATTGCCTTTGGGATAAATCAGGTGACCACAGAAGTATGGTATGTTTTTGGACTCTTTCTTCTGTTCTATTGGCCACTTTGTCTCTCCTTAAACTAGCAAAATATTATCATAACAATGATATATTCTGATGTTATTTTATATAAGAAAATATGATACTTATAAATTAATGATTGTAATGAAGTAGAAAGAATTCTATATTTAAAATGTAAAAAAGTTTATTGTACATCGTTTTAACTTTTATATAGACCACTATGTAAGTATAGATTATTTTAAAGTCATAAAATGTAGATTAAAAATGCTATTCTAAAGCAAACCGTTAAGTGTACAATGTTCTATTTTTAAACTTAATCTTTTAGAAATGACTTACATTCTGTAATTTTTGACATGAGATATTACAGGTTTATGTTGTCCTTTCCCTTTCTCAATTTTAGAAGTAGCCATTTCTTCAAGGAGATCTGGTTCCTTTTAGTGGGAAACAAATTCAGAAACCAAGATTTCAGCACTTACTTTATTGCTGCTTGGTACTCTGTGGCCTTTTTACTGGACAAAATGAGGACAAAGATGTGTGTGTTTGTGTGTGTGTGCGTTTATGTGTGTGTGTAGCCGTATACTACGTAGATGAACACATGTGTACATAATTATGAATGATACATATGTATGTGTGTGTAAATATATATGTAATATATAAATATATATCTATTTTAAATATATTATATATGTACATATGTGTGTGTCTGTATTAGTTTACACTAATAACTTCAATTCTATCCCATCACCATAATCTTCATTCTAGGTTCCCTCCTTTTCAAACTTGTAATTGTTTTATCTAATATTGAGAAATCTATCTACTAATTATTTCTCAATCCCCTATACATAACCAACATTCTGACACCAACAGCTTACACTATATTTGTCTTACTTCCTCACATGGACCTCAAGACTCACCAGGCCTCCTTCTATGCTTGTCTGTTTAATGGCTTTTTGATGACATTATTAAAGAAGGGAGAAAGGAAGGAAATAAAGAGAAAAAAATCATATTTTTCTTCGAACAAATTTTGGAAGACAAATCTAATTTTGCTTCATGACACAATTAATGATGGAAGGAAAAATACGAAAAGGGAAAGAAACTGATGTAATCTATTTCTACTTCATGGAAAGGAATAATGTCTTTCTCCTGGTCTTTATTTTGTAATATTACTGTTGCTCTTGTTAACAGGCATCACAAATATTATCAGTGGTCACATTTTAATCTTGATTTTATCCTACTTTATTAAAGACTATCACACATTTATCAGCATCCAAAGCTTAATTTATTAAAAGACAGACCATACTCTCATCTTTTATAAGATTCTGAAATAGAGGTTGAAAAATTGAAATCTATATATGGCTTAGTGTTATTTTCTTGTGACCTGAAGCTGGAAATAATTACTAAGGTCCAAGCTCGTAAGAGCACACTGTACTTTTTTAAACAACTTGCTTTATTTCATTTCTAAAATCATCATCTTTGTCACTATTATTAGAAAATTAAGTTATTTATTCTTTCGGAAATTATATTAAAAAAACGAATAGGACATTACTGAAACAGAGTACCAGACTTCAAAAAGCTTTTTTTCTGCTCAAGTCATGCAATTATTAGTTAGGTTGGTGCTGGCTGTGTAACAAATTGATTCCAAAGTGTATCATGGTTCAAACATAATACTTTTTTAAACAAATTATTTTCCCAAGATGAGTTTCTCTAGTCAGCAACAGGATTTTCTCCCCATAATCACTTAGACTTACAGAGCTTCTCCAAGCTTCAAAATGTGGCTTACAAGTTCACCAACCATGATAGCCTCCTCTAGTTCAGCCAGAAGAAAGATAGATGGAGGGTATGTGGGACACTTCTATGGGACGAGCTTGGGAGTCACTGATCTCATTTGTTCTGCTCTTTTTCCACTGCCTAGAACTCTGTCACACAGCGACAAGTAAAAGCAAGGAAAGCTAGAAAATATAGTGTTGATGTATGCCCAGGGAAAGGAAAATGGATTCTGATGGATAGCTATCAACAGCTACCATAGCAATATGTTAAATGTATAAAAGGAAGACTTCTCTGGTTGAAACATGAAAGTTAACCCAGTACCAACCAGTAGACATTTCCCTCAGCCCCTTTAAAAAACAGCAAAAATAGCAACAAAAGCCTTCTCAAAACTCTTGGTTTTCTTAGAACGGTATTTGAAAATTATTACATTAAAAATGTACACATTTACTCAGCAATCCCATTCAGGGAACACTGTCGTATAGAAATAAAAATGTAATTCAAAAACAATTTCATTACGAATGTACCCATTGATTCAGCAATCACATTTCTGGGACTCCATACTATAGAAATAAAAGTGTATTTTTAAAACTATTGCATTAAACATGTACTCATTGTCTCAGCAATTCAATTCCTGGCACTCTATATCACAAAAAATAAAAGAATATCATATTAGAAAGCTCTGTTCTAAGTAATTTATTCTTTAGAATGTTTTATGTACCATTGTTTGTAGTAGCAAAGGCAAAAAATGAAATAAAAACAGAAAGAAAGTGAAAGTGCTTCAATACGGAAGCATTAGGAGAAAAGTTGCATAAATATTTCAAGATTATGAAATAGTATATGGCTATTCCTTAGAACTAAATGTCATATGGGTATCAGAATTTCTACACTGTGCCTTCACCATAATATAAGTGATAAAAGTAAGATATTTATCATTACATATGTGCCTGTTTTCCTAAAATAATGAGAAAATAACCAATGTTTCTAAATGTAGAGGGCATGTTTCTGGGAGTATTATATATATATATATAAATTATATATATAATTTATATATATATGATAAAATGTATGTTTAACCTTTTGTAGTCAACACTTTTTTGATTGAGGTCAGGTGAATACTGGAATTAGGAAACATAAAGACCACATGTTAATATAACTCAGTGTAAAGACAGCACTGAAAAAATAATAGATGAGATTTCAATGGGTGCATAAGCCTATATATATAATAAAATAAGTGGAGATATTCACTACAATTATGATGATGTGTGTATTAGAGTAATGCAATCGGTGGTAGGGTTTACTTTTTTTTAAACTTTATGCAGTCACTGATAAATACGGAAATGCTCCTACAAAGCCTTATCTATACATTTTATTTTCTTTTTTAATACCATTAATACAAACATTGCTGGGTTATAAAGAACCAGAAATAACATTCAAATCCTCTCATTTAAATTTCCCTGAAAAATTCCTATGCTTTTCATTGCTTTGAAGTAAGAACTTCTGATGCTTCCTACAATAAATCTCTCTTTGAATCCATTAAGTTTTAGGAACATGGTTTTTATATATAAATATACATATTCACATGTATATTTATACATAGATGTAGATACATATATATGTATGTCTTGCATTAGTTGATTGGTTCAAATAATTGAAATAGTTTACATAAATATGGCTATGGGATATATCACATAATTGGCTAAAACATAAGACATATATATGTAAAGAATATTTTAGACGTGGGTTTGTAGCAATAAGTATTGTGTCAATACTCTATTTGCAGAAGCTTTTCAAAGAACCTAATGGGCCGGGCGCGGTGGCTCACGCCTGTAATCCCAGCACTTTGTGAGGCTGAAGCGGGCTGATCACGAGGTCAGGAGATTGAGACCATCCTGGCTAAAACGGGGAAACCCGGTCTCTACTAAAAATACAAAAAAATTAGCCGGGCATGGCGGCGGGCACCTGTAGTCCCAGCTACTTGGGAGGCTGAGACAGGAGAATGGCATGAACCCGGGAGGCGGAGCTTGCAGTGAGCCTAAATCGCGCCGCTGTACTCCAGCTTGGGCGACAGAGCGAGACTCCGTCTCAAAAAAAAAAAAAAAAAAAAAAAAAAAAAAAGAAAACTAATAGACTCAAGGGCAGATTTTAATTTTTCACTGTTTGTCAATATGAAGAGAATGGTGTGTATAGCCTCTTCACATCCTAGATAATTTAGATGAATATTCTGACCTTCAATGAGGGTCTCTCATCACACTTCCATTTGCATATTTTAGAAAATTTTATTTGTATTTTGGTTTCTTTTCATTCAGTTGTTCCCTAGACTGAAAAGAGATCTATAACAGAATCTCATGACTTGATAATCCAACTCACTCTCAGAGGACTCAAATCTATCTATCTATCTATCTATCTATCTATCTATCTATCTATTTATCTATCATCTATCTATCTAGTCTTCACACCTAGGAGTTTTCCACTTTTAATCCAGCCATTTTAATTGAGTCAGAGATTAATTGAGGATTGCATTGCATAATCCTGGTTAGGATTCCCCTGGTTAAGATGTCACGGAAGAGTGGTCTCAAAGTCCCAAGCTGTTTAATATTTAAAGAGACTGATAGGAGGGGTTCTTTTTACCCTGAAATAGCAATTTCTCAAAAGAAGACATAGAATAACAAATAGGTATATATTTTAAATGCTTGACATCACCAATTATCAGGAAAATGCACATCAAAACCACGAAGATACATCATCTCACCTCAATTAAAAAGGTTATTTTTAAAAAGTCAGGCAGTAATGCATGCTGGCGAGGATGTGGAGAAAGGCGAGCACACTTTCACTGTTAGTGGGAATGTAAATTAGTACAATCACTATGAAAAAACAATATGGAGACTCCTCATAAAACTAAAAATAGAACTACCATATGATCCAGAAATCCTACTGCTGGAGATATAGTCAAAAAAAGAAATCAGTATATCAATGAGATATCTGCACCTCCATGTTTATTACAGCACTATCCACAATAGCGAATACATGGAATCAACCTAAGTGTCCTTCAACAGATAAATGGATAAAGAAAATGTGGTATATGCACACAATGAAATATTATTCAGCCATAAAAAAGAATGAATTCCTGTCATTTGCAGCAGCATGGATGGAATGGAGGACATTATGTTAAGTGAAATAAGCCAGACACAGAAAGACAAATATTGCATGTTCTCACTTACATGTGGAATCTAAAATAATTGAGTTCATGAAGGTAACAAATAGAATGGTGGTGTTCAGAGCCTGGAAAGGGTAGTGGAGAGTGGCAATAAAGAAGGGTTAGTTAATGGGTGGAAAAAATGCAATTAGAGAGAAGGAATAAGATTTAGTGTTCAATAACAAAATAGGGCAACTACAGTTAACAATAATTTATTGTGTATTTCAAAATAACTGGAAGAGAAGATCTGGGATGTTCCCAACACAAAGAAATGATAAATGTTTGAGGTGATGGATATACCGAATATCCAGATTTATTCATTACACATACATATATGAATAGATCACATGTACTTCATAAATATGTACAACTATTATGTATCCATAAAAATGAAAATAAAATAAATTAAAGGCGTAGATGCCTTATTATTGCTCCTGTAGATCTAAATGTCCTAAGGATAGATCAGGGAAAAAAAAATGTCGCTAGGAAAGAGATGTAAATCATGCTGGGGTAGTCACTGCAAGGTGTATAGGCAAACACTCATCTTTTTCTCAGTTGTAGCTGTGGTCTTAGGGAAAACACTTGAAATTTAAGAGTCCAAAATAATGTGAAATATAAATTAGAGATAATCTCAGTAAACATAGAAAAATGTTTTGAGAGTTCACTGTATCTTAGTGGAATGGCAACAACAAAAACAATGTCATATTAGCTAAGATGAGACTGATCTACCTCAGACAGAATCCCAGTGGCAGTGGGATTACATATTTGTTTTGGTGCTGCAACTTGGATAGTCCCTTAATCCAGCTTCACAGACTCTGTAATGGGGATGACAGCAACATATCATAAATAAAGTGTAGAAGCAATAACTGGTAATTCCAAACATTCTGGGAAAGACCTTGCTAAAGTCCCATTGCAATGTCACATAGGAGGCAATAACAGAGCCACCACAACATGAGGCACAGCAAAGAGAAAAGACATTCACATTAATTTGGAAGCAAACATCTGGGCATGATTTCTTATCATGTTACTTATCATGTTTCTCTACTTGACAGAAAAATGAAATTCATATTGCCTGTAATTTTATAAGAATTAAATGAGTTAATTCATGATATTCCTTTATAAGACTTTTGCAAGAACGTTGGAGACAAGGGAAGAAAATATGTGTGATACCCTGAAGAAAAAGATTTGTATAGAAAATGACATGACTTACCTGCTCATCCTGCTGACTCTTGGTCAAGAGCAGTAAACCCTTTCTATACCTGGAACGTTAAAACACCATTGATCCTGCTCTCTGAGAATCGCATCATCAAACAGCAGGGAAATATACTTAATGGTTAGAAAGCAGCTAAATCTTACTCTAAGATAGATGAAAAGAACTTCTTAGATTCAAATTGAGTGGCTCTACCTATGCATTAAAATAATGATTTACCACTGTTAAATGAAATGGCTGACAAAGAAAGAAATAAATTTGTTTTTTCTCTAAGGTTTCTTTTATCCAGGTGCTAGTGGATACCATAACCAATTAGATCTCATTTTCTATTTATATGAAGCAAATAGAGTTAAAAACAATGTTGTTTAGGGATGTTTTATATGGCAAAAGAAAGAATGAGAGACAAAGAAAAGATGAAGAATTATAATGTATATTAATAAAAATGAAAATACATAAAATATTCATAATTATTTTAAAATAATTCAAAAATACAAGAATCTTTCATGAAAATAACTAATAACAGATCTGAAACTTCACTTATCACTTACTTCAAAAAGCCTTCAATGGAAACTCCTTATAAATTAAATTAATTTTTAATATTCCTTTTGTATTTTTGTAGAGATAGTATTGTACACATTTGCTTTTTTTCTTCCAAAACGTTAACTTTACAAATGAGAGATGAGGTTACAAAACTCACGAACTAATGTCTACACATATTCATCTGTACCCATTTCCTGACTTACAGAGATCTAACATACATACTTATTAACAAAACTTACCCTACTAATTCAGCCTCTGCTGGCATGATCTCATCTGTTATTCTCACAAAAAAGAACCATCCTTTGTTTAGTAAATCCCTTTTCCACTCCCCTAGAGGACTGAAACATTGGTGTCATCAATTACTCCTCTTATTCCAACCCTCGTGAAATAACCACATTCTATTGATTCTATTCATAACACTATTTTAATCTACGCTTCCTTCCATTCCCATGGTCACCACCTTGGATCAAACATATTCTCCCATTACGGTGCATCTTGGTTTAAGAATTCAAACTCTTTGATCCTTAGGTTTGAATCTCTACTCTACCACTTAATAAATTTTGATACTGGGGAAATTCTTTAACCATAATGGGATTTATTTTTCTAATATTTGGAAAAATACAGCAATTATTATCTACAAAACAGGGATAATAGAGCATATTATATATATACAATAATTTACACTTATATTCTAGGTTGGCAAATAAACATAAAGTACATATTATTTATTGTTACATCCAAATTTAACTTTCTGCCGCCATTCTTTTTTGAAACCATGCTATCAATTTGATCTTTTGAAACTACCCGATAACTCAAATTTGCCTTTATTCTAATGTGACACATAAATAAAATCACAATTCCTTAGTTTAGCTTTTAAAGACTTCTGTATTTCCCAAATTTATAGCTTTATACTTTGTCATGTATTTGTTTAATATTGGTTGATCAATAACTATATAAAGTTTTGGGTCAGATTTGCAGAGGACCCAGAAAACCTTCCATTGCTTCTCTTCAATTTTTTTATATTCCATCTAAATGCTTTGCTGGCTCAGAATTTCTTGCTTTTATATCCTCCTTAAATCCTATGGACCTATTAAAATCCAAACAAATACAATGACCATCACTCTCACAACATGTTATCTGGGGAAAATATTTTCTGCATCCTGCACACTCTTACAAATATCACAGATCTCTATACTATTGTTGTTTAAGCAAAATCAGTTTACCCTATAAGACTGCAGGGTCTAGATTTAGGGCCCAGGAATTTCTGTCATATTGCCTTTGAAGAGTCCATGTTTACTTCCTTCTTGGCATTTATATAGTTCTGCAATGTTCTTATTAATTGTTCTTTTTTCTCTTTCCCTCACTAGAATGTAAGTTTTATAAAGATAATAAACTTGACTATCATATTCCCCAGCATTTTACTCATGCTAAACATAAATCCTGACCCATCCTCCTGCCAAAATAGTTGCTAACATAGAGTTATCAAACTAATTGAAGACCTATACTTTATTTTTTACTAGATAAATAAATAACTTTTGGCTAAGAAACTTTTGACACTCCCAAAGCCACACATCAAGAATGTCTGTCTTGTTTTTCACCACTCCCACTCCCACTACTGGTCCCATCCATAGTTAGATAACATAAATTCCTTGAGAAAGTCTCAAAGGTTTGACAATTTTTATTATATTTTCACTTACCTTTTTATACTTTTTATTTAAAATAGTTTTAAAATAGGCCAAGGTGGGAGGATTGCATGAAACCAGGAGTTTGAGGTTACAGTGAGCTGTGATGACACTGTTGTGCTCCAGCCTGAGCAACAGAGCAAGACCGTGTCTCAAAAAAAAAAAAAAAGTTATAGATTTACAGAAGAGTTGCAATGATAGCAAAGAACTCCTATATACCTTACACTCATCTTCCTCTAACCATAATCATGGTATATTCATCAATACTGAGAATTTAATAGTAATACAATCCTATTATTAACTAAACTACTTATTCCACCAAGTTTTCCACTATTGTCTTACTTTTACTCCAAGACACAGTTTATACCACATTGCATTTAGTAATAATGTCTCCTTAGTGTCCTTCAAATCTTTGGTAGTTGCCTGATCCTTTCTGGTTTGTCATGCCCTCGGCACTGTTGAAGAATGTTGGTCATATATTTTGTAGAACATCTACCAATTGGGGTTTTTCTAATTTTTTTTCTCATTAAAAATTTAGATTCGACTGGGGTTATAGATTTTTGGGGAAGATACACAAAAAGAGAAAGATTTACTGTTAAGTGAAATCAAATAACCTGTACCCCCACTGAAAGCATTCCAAAGAGGCAGAATATACTGCTTGGCCAAAACAATGAAGCAGTCACCAAACCTGGCAACTGAATGACAGTTTCAATGCAGATGGCAGAAGCAAAAACTTGGCAACTCTGGTGTAGGTTTAACTCAGAAAACAAGGGCAAGATATGAAGAGACAATATAACAATGGTGTTAAGTTTTAAAAATCCATTAGTTCTATAAAGAAATAATTTTACAATAGACCAAGTTTCAAAGCATTGTAAAACTTCATTTCATTAATATTTAAATTGATTTTCCACTAATGTCTTTCTTCAAATATTTAATTCTAGAATATTACTAGAAAATAAATTAAGTTTTAAAATATGTTTTTAGTTCACATTATTTTGGTCACTTGTAAAACATTTTCATAATTTTCTGAGTTGTAAGCGTTCATGATAAACTAAGTTAATACGCCCTGCAGCTGCTAATACTTTTTCTTGATTTGTTTACTTTCGCTGCATGTCGAATTTGGGAAATACAGACAACACTAATTCAGTGTTGAATTAGACAACAATAATACAGACAACACTCAGCTCATATTTCAAAGTAGTTCAAATGAATTCAGAATTAGCTTGAAATATGTAGTGATAAATGTAATTGAATATTACATCCTATGGCTTCAAAATTAAAGACATGTTTCTAAGGCTAATTTTCCATGTTGTTTTAAATAATAAATTATTATTTTTACTTCCAGAAAAGATAGTTTCAAAATGATACTCAAGCAATATTTTGTTTCTGATTTATCTAAAATGTTTTAAATTATCAAATCAATTTAAATACTGATCATCACAAATTTATTTCTGTCTCTAATATGCAAATATTCATTTTTCTGTTCTAACCATAATTTTGTCTAGCGAAAAGTTATTGAACTTCAAATTGTAATGTAATCAATTTTCCACTCCACAAATTGTCAAATTAAGGTGCTTGCTCTTTGAGTGTTCTCCATTTCAATAAATTAAATTCCAGTTCCAGTATATAATTTTCTGTAAATATATAACACATATATAATTTTAATTCATTATTTAATAATAAATATTTAAAAACTCAGATTTACAGTTGCAATATAACCATTCTGACTTTGTGGCTAGGAAACCTCACCTACAAAACACGTATAATATCACCTCTTCGACTTCAAATCATGTTTTCTACAGCCTTTGCTGTCTTAACTTAGCATTTTTGTAGCAATTACAAAAAAAAAAAGATAAAATCAAGATTAGAATCTTTGAGTGAGTTCCTTTACACACAAACAATTTTTTAACTCCTGCTATTTTTACATATTCTATTTTAAAATTTGAAAACATTTATTTGGTTTTTATTAGAGTTTTGTTGACACTGAACTTACCTCTAGCTACATAGTTTTACTTTTCTTTAACTGAGCAATATAAATATATTATAACCAAATTATATGTGCAACATTATATTATGTAATAATTTAAATAATTTTTAAATAATTATTATCGAATTCTTATACATATATGTATAAATATGCATATGAGTCAGATATTATAATTAAATACTTTTTTATTCTTTTCTACGTGACAATTTTAATTTTCCTCCTCAGGAGCTAATAGATGTTGTAATAAACACCTCTTAATAATAAATAATTTAGTCTGGTTGCAGTGGCTGACGGCTGTAATTCCAGCAGTTTGGGAGGCCGAGGCGGGAGGATCATGAGGTCAGGAGATCAAGACCATCCTGGCTAACATGATGAAACCCTGTCTCTACTAAAAATACAAAAATTAGCTGGGCGTGGTGGTGGGCGTCTGTAATCCCAGCTGCTTGGGAGGCTGAGGCAAGAGAATCGCTTGAACCCGGGAGGCGGAGGTTGCAGTGAGCAGAGATCTCGCCACTGCACTCCAGCCTGGGTGACAGAGAGAGACTCCATATCAAAAAAATGTAAATAAATAAATAAATAAATAATGACAAATATGTTAGTAATACAAAGGAATTATTTTATACTATATTTTTAATCCAATGGCCCTCCTTGCCTAGAGAGTCAGCAACTTTTAGAACCAGTTAAACAGCACACAGGTGAAAGTAAGCACAGAGAATAACTTCTAGACTTAGTAAGTATTTTTTGAGATTAAGAAAAAAATCTGTGACTCATGACTGGAATATTTTTGGCTGTTGTTTTACTTAAAATTGTGTTAGCCATAAACAACAGAAAATCAATTTAAGGGGCTCTCAGTAATAAAAGTTATGTTATTTCACAAAACAATAATTAGAGAGTGTTTAATTCAGGGTGAACTGATAAGGCAGTTCTCATAATGTGGATCTGAAATATTTTCCTGATAATACTCAGATATTATTTGCCCATTTCTCTCATGAGTGTACAGTGACATTTTCTAGGAGCTACATTATGTGTGATATCACAAATGGACTGAATGCAAAAAAATGATATAAGAATCCACCCTCTGCTATTAAGCCAAATATTAAAGAGATTAGAACACAATATAAAGTTATGCTTCTCTCACACAGTTATCTTTATTTTATTTTATTTTATTTTATTTTATTTTATTTTATTTTTGAGATGGAGTCTCATTCTATCACTCAGGCTGGAGTACAGTGGCATGATCTAGGCTCACTGCAACCTCCACCTCCTGAGTTCAAGCGATTCACCTGCTTCAACCTCACGAGTAGCTGGAACTATTAGGCACGTGCCACTATGCAAAGCTATTTTTTTTATTATTTTCTTTTTTTTACTAGAGATGAGGTTTTACCATGTTGGCAGGATGGTCTCGAACTCCTGACCTCAGTGATCCACCCGCCTCGGCCTCCCAAAGTGCTGGGATTACAGGTGTGAGCCACCCTGCCTGGCCACAATTATCTTACTTTGAAAAAATACAGTTATCACTCATAAAAAAACATGTTATTCATGATAGCACGTAATAAATATATTGATATCAAATGAATTAATATACAGTATGTTTTATTTTCTTCTTAAAAAAATTCTAATACAGCAAATATTGACAGATATAATCCACATAAACAGAAGCTCTTTGGAATCCTCAGTAATTTTTAAGACTGTAAAGAATTCCTGAGTCTCCAGAACTTGAGAGCCGCTGGTTGAATGATAGATATCATGGGGATCCAGGTGCTTTTAATCTCCTACTTCTGTCATTATCACAGGTGTTAATAATTTCTCTCCTCCACCCTTCTCTACAGTTAGATGACTGCTGCAGTAATTCTAGGTATCACATGCAGTTATGTGACACAGCAAAGAAGACAGGCAATTACTCCCAAGTGCTTCCTTTTATAAGGAAGACAAACCTTATTCATGACTCCCACAGAATTTATTTCATATCCCACTGGCTGGAAAAAAATACATGTCTCTGTTAAAACAGTCATTCTAAGAAGAATGACATCACTCTGCCTAGCTAAGACCAGTTGTGACCCAACCTTGAGGAGAGAGGGAGAGCCACTTGCTAGATTCTTCGGCCAAGCAGAGGCTAAACATTCAAAATAGAAAGGACCTTTGAACACAGGAAAGAATCATAGCTTGAGAAAGGATTTTGATATAGTCACTGTGTCATTTGCATCTGCTGTGCTGGATTTACTTTCAAAAATTTAGGCAAGTATTAGATACTGTAACCATCTCACGTGTGGCACTGATCATAGTCTTTTGCCATTTAATCATATTCAGAGATTACTGGAGTTTAAAGTTGAAAACGTTTTAAAAATTAGTATTTGAATATTAATTAAAGTAATAAATATAACAGGCTAAATGATTTTTTTTAAAGTAACTTGAGACAATAGTTTGGTGGTAAGCACATTAATACAAAGAAGTGAAGATTTAAAATAAAGGAACGCCATAGATCTCAAAGAACATTCAGTGTATTTATTAGGGATTATTATATGCTTCCTTCAAAAATGCATATATTTTTAAGCATATTAAAAATAAATTATACATTTGAAAGTGTGTGCAGATAGGACACTACAAATAGCACCAATTTTATGCCTATATATAGTTGCTAATTTATTATGTTGTACTTGGGTTCCATTCTGGACCTTCTAATAGCAATGGACTGTGATGAGATGTTTTGGCTACTTAACCTAGGCCTATGCTAAATTTCTATGACTGTCTTCATGTAAAGTTTCTGATATTCATTTTCTAACTTATAAAATAATTAACTTAAGGAAAAGAAATGACAGCAGAGATAACTCAGATGCTAAACACTGCTTTGGTAGATGTACTCTTAATTGTTTGCAAGAATTATACTCACTTAAATTGGTTGGCCTTGTGATTCACTTTTTTTTCAGAGATTTGAAGACTGTGTATGCTAAAGAAATGATATTTTAGACATCTATTACAAACTGACATGAATGACAAGTGTGTGCATATTTAATCACTTTGTGCATTTTAGGTGTGGGCACACTTTTACCTGGTAAGTATTTTTAAATATAAATATTTGATATTGCTCTGAAAAGGTTATGGTCTCAATTTCAGTTTTAGAATAAAGATTCCAAATTCATCTATATTGCTGTTATAACATCCTCAAAATGTTTTCAAAATTTAAATTAAATTATTTGGAAATGAATTAGTATCATTTCAGACACATTTGCATATGTACTTGTCATATAATTTTTTAGGGGGAAGCTTGATTTTTCATCTTTCAAGTGAATTATACACAATATTAAGGGTTTTTTATTGGTAGCTATTATATATTTTCTTTTGTAAATCATATGCATGTAACGCTGAGGCATTACAATATATAATGATAAATATAAAGCATTTATTTTTATCTTCAAATTAAATACCAATTTCTACAACTGGAAATATTTTAGAGTACTTTCAAGCATAACCATACTTTTGTTCCAATTTTTAGACAAGAACTGACATATAATAACCTCAGACTGATATCTCTATATGTGTGTGAGTTATTTTAGTTGTTTATTTTGTTTTTGTCTTTATTTATTTTGGTTGTGTTGACAAGTTATTTGATCATAAACAAACAACACATTTGATTTAAAATGAAAATCTGACATCCAATTTGCAACCTTCTGTGAGCTAATACATTACCAGATAAATCAATTCTATCATTGAATTGAATAGCAATTATAAGAATGTGGTTAAGTCAGCCAATTCAGTTGTATTTGGTGAAGCAATTTATGGTATTGCCCATAAATGTGACGTTCCAATTTATGTTAAATGATGTCCTCCAGTGTCTCCTGTGGAGAAGTTGCTTTGCTGATGGCAAGTTCATATCACCCGTATCTCTAGGGGAAGTAGTTCAGTATGGTGATGCATTAAAGGAAAATTAAAATTAAATTTCAGTTGTCTTATAATAGCTTTTTATAATTATTTGACAACCTAGTTAACACCACCAACATATTTTCTCTTCTAAAAGCCTAACAGGTGTTTGCTGGAGTTTCATCTGTTACGAATCAGTACTGATTCCAACTGGACATGTTCCATTCAATAGATGGATATTTTTTATATTTGTAGATATCCTGCACCTGTTCAAAGAGTATCAGCTCCAAACCTGTCTTCTGTTCCAAACCTGTCTGGCTGTTATGTTCTTGACACCTGGCCCATCTGATCCACATCATTGTCTGTATAGAACAGATTTATTATACGCATACTGTTGCACCTGTCTCAAATTATCTAAATCTGTCTCTGTCTGGAATATTGTCAGTTATAGAGGGATTGTGGAAAAATAGTTTTACCGATGCTGAATCATATTTTTCCTTCATGACAAAATGATACTTCAATTCTCTAAAAACTTCATCAAAGTAAATTCTAAGTATATAAGTATATTGCCATTAGAAACAAACTGAAAATTTAGTACTTGAATGTTTTGCTATTTGCCGACTAAAATAGGCAGATTTTAAAGGCCAGAAGATTGAGACTCTGTTCATTACATATGCTGAGAATATGCTGATTTCATTATCCTTAGTAAATGTGACTTCATTATCCTTAGTAAATTAGGGAAGGTAGTTACCACTTGCGGGGTGCGGGAAGGGGTGGGAAGAAAGTATGTATTTTCATGGTCCATGGCAATTTAAGTTAGCTAATATTAATTTATCTGGAAAGGAAAGAATTGAGGAAATGTGCAGAATCAAAAGAAGAAAATCTAGGAGAGGGAGTTCCTAGTTCTACCTGAAAATTGCTTTTGTGACAGGGTGCGGTGGCTCACGCCTGTAATCCCAGCACGCTGGGAGGCCCAGTCGGGCCTATCACCAGAGGTCAGGAGTTAGAGACTAGCCGGGCCAACATGATGAAACCCTGTCTCTACTGAAAGTACAAAATTAGCTGGCCGAGGTGGCTCACTCCTTTTATCCCAGCTACTCGGGAGGCTGAGGCACAAGAATTGCTGTGAACATGAAAGGCTGAGGTTGCGGTGAAGTGAGATCTCACCACTGCACTCCAGCGTGGGCAACAAAGTGAGACTCCATCTCAAAAAAAAAAAAAAAAAGCATCATTTTTTTTCTTTAATGAGAATCTAAAAATTTTTAATAATTGTCTATCTCATCACATTGTTGGGGTGACTCCTTATTTTGCTATAAAAATTAGGGGAATTGGAAATACATTTTAGGTCCATGTATTTTTAGTTTTCCTGTAAGTCAAAAGATAATTCTGGTTTATAATAATATCACACACACACAAAAGTGATTTTAAAAGACCCAAATTGTATTCTTACAAATTAGACTAGTTTTTTAAAAAAATAGATATTTTATCATGCAATCCAGACGTTCAGTTCCAAGAAGATAACAACCATGGCATAATTTTAAATCTTCCAAATTTCTTCTTGATAACTAGACAAAGCAAGTAGGTGAAACAAAAAATAAATACAGAAATGAAAGCTAAATTAGAATTAACACAGAGCAAATATAGACTTCATAAAGCCCTGTAAGAAAAATAGAGACTAGAATAGAAAAATATTGAAAAGTTCAAGATATAGAGAAAAGCATTAAAATACTTCAAGAGAAAATGATATAAGCAGAAGATAAAGTTATTCAGCACATGTTTAATTTGAGCTCCCACAAAAGTACTCCATCTTCCCCCCAAAATCAAAAAATAACTTAAAAAATATATAGACCTATGTCAAAAGAATCTTATTTCAGAAATATTCTCACTGATAGGGCATACTATTTACATGGAAAAACTGAATAAGAATTATTGACACTGAGAACTATCATAGCAACACTATTAGACTTCACAAAGAAAAAGATTTCTGAGAACCTAGGCATGAATACCAATTTTCTTATATTAAAAAAAAATCAGGCTGTCATCAAAACTCTGGAGAGTAACATTGCATACCAAAGATATTGGTTACAAACAGAAAGAAAATATGAATCAAGTATTTTTCTCTATCCAATTAAAAGAAATTTTAGTACATAAAATAAATAAAGACTAAAAGCATCTAAAACAAAACAAAACAACAACAAAATCCTCTTGTATTAATGTATTCAGGCAGTGTTCCTGAGGAACAAAGAAAGAACTTCAAACAAACAAGATATTGAAGATTTTGCAACAGGTCATTTGTGCACATTGAATATATATAAATACAAAATTAAGATTAAAAATAGAGATAACTGCAATAGGATATTATGTAAATACAAATGATCTGACAGTGTAAGAGTATAGAACTGACAGATATTTGAAAAAAAAGGCAGGGTGTATGTCAGATAGATGCAAAAAAAATTCATTTCATGCCAAAAAATTAAATAGTTCAATTATACTTACCACACTAAACAGAACAAAGAAAATACCCTAATTAAAATAATATTAGTGATAATATTTTAATAGAGTGAGAGAAGGTAAATAGAATGAAAGGTTGTTTGCTAATCATATTTACTCTGATTTTAAGCAGCCAAGAAATCTTACTTACTAAATTCCAAAAATATACCAAAACAAAATAAAAATGATAAAGAAATAAATCTCATAGTAATTTTTTGCATATGTAGTGGAATTAAACATTATAACAAAATTGAGATCAAATATCTATCTTATCCATATAAATACGTCAAATTCTCCCTTTAAAATACAAATTTTTAAGATTTGTTAACAATGTAAAATTCAGCAAAAATAAAAAGATAAAAAATCAAACTAAATTATTTTGGGTGTTTAAAAATAAAAAAAAAAAGCACGGCTGAGCACAGTGTTTCATGCCTATAATACGCATACCTTGGGGTGCTGAGGCAGGATTTCTTGAGGCCAGAAGGTCTAGACTACCCTGGGCAACATAGTGAGACATACATCTATTTTTTAAAATGAAAAACAGTAAATAAGTAAATTTTAGAGAAACATTGGGAATGATAAACTTGACAAATGCAAATAAAAGAAAAATAAGCCATAATCTTCATATCTAAAAAAACAGAATTTATGCCAAAAATAAGAGAAAAAGAGCTACTTCATGCTCTCTAAAAGTCCCATAAAAATATGAGAATTATTATCTGTGCGTAATAACTTGCAGCAACTTTGCAAATCAGAAATTATAGCAGATAAAATAATTGACAAAATCATCCTAAAAAGGAAAACTATAATAATCTTATATGACAAACAAATGTTAATGTCCCTAATATAGAAAGAGCTCCTACAAAATAAAAAAAGATATATACCAACGATATGATAGGTAAAAATATATAAATTCAATATATAGGAAAAGAAATGCAAACATCCCTGAACATATAAAGAAGTGCTTAATCTCACTCTTAAGGAGATACGTAACACTACGATAAGACTATTTGTCATCTATCATAATATAAAAAACCAAAAACTTAAGTAGAAAATGGTTTTTAAATGTTTACAGAAATGACATACTATTGGCAGTAATATAAAATTGTGCAAATTTTTTGAAGGCAAATTCGACACTGTTTAGCAAATCACATATCCACTTACTCCTTGACTTGTTTATAGGAATCTAAACATACTCAGGCAAAACTACTAACTGAAATGCACAAAATTTCTTCATTATTAGTGTCATTATTAGTAATAGCAAATATTAGAAATAATTCAAATATTCATTAAGGAATTGATTGAAATAATAACACATTTTATAAATGAGTTACTATACACACATGAAAGGAAATTGAAAATATATCTATGTAGTGATACGGAGTGCTTTCCAAAACATATTGTCAAGTGAAAACATCTCTCTTGCTACACATGGATAGATAGTTACAGATGACTGAGATAGACAAATGACAGCAGAAGTTACTTTTTTGTCATAGAAGGCATTTATCTAATGCTTCCAACTTCCAGGAAATGGCCTGAAGGTTAAATTACAATGAACTATTGTCAATTTCAGGTCTCCACACAGTAGTAGCTACCCATTTCCCACTTCCAGCCCTGTGGCAGGTAGCTCTACACATGTTTCTGGAGCACACAGCCAGAGTGGGCAAAAAAGGGCTCTAAATGTCAAACATTCAGGGTTTGCGTTCTGATTACTGATTGTTGCTTCTAATCACAGAGGTACAAAGAGGTGAGCAGCCATTGTTGCTGTACCTGTCCCATTGTTACAAGCCTCCTTCTCCAGCTGAAGTGACTTCCAGAAGATTTAAAGGGATTGTATTCTTTTTTCCCTACTCTTCAATTTTCTTTCTTTCTCATTTTGAGAGCCAGACATTAAAAGCTAGAATATGGGCCGGGCGCAGTGGCTCCCACCTGTAATCCCAGCACTTTGGGAGGCCGAGGCGGGTGGATCACGAGGTCAGGAGGTCAAGACCATCCTGGCTAACACGGTGAAACCCCGTCTCTACTAAAAATATAAAAATTAGCCTGGCGTGGTGGCGGTGCCTGTAATCTCAGGTACTCGGGAGGCTGAGGCAGGAGAATTGCTTACACCTGGGAGGCGGAGGTTGCAGTGAGCCGAGGTCGCGCCATTGCACTCCAGCCTGGGCATCAAAGTGAGACTCGGCCGAAAAAAAAAAAAAAAAGAAAAGAAAAAGTAAGTTTATATATAGGGAAAATTAGAAATGACCACACGTGCCCAGGGAAACACAAGGCTCAAAAGAACTGGGAAGACCTTAAGCCTTAAGTTTACACTTCAAGCTGATGCTTGGCACAGACACAGCTCACAACAATCAAAAAACAAAAACAGTAAACAAAAGTCATAACCAAAAAAACCCTACCCTGGGTAATGGAAGAATCTGATTTCCAGAATTACAAATGATCAGATTTATGTTTCTAATCTTCAACAAAAGAAATAATAAGACTGACAAAGAAGAAGAAATGTACTGCCCATTCAAAAGAAAAATAAATAAATAAATAAACTGACAAGAACTGTTCATGAAAAGGACCTGCTGGCATATCTATTAGGCAAAGATTTTAAAGCAGTCTTTCAAAAGATGCTCAAAGTACTAAAGAAACATGTTTAGAAAGTTAAGAAAATAATATATGAACAAAACAGACATAATAATAAAGAGGAAAAAACCTAAAAGAAAGGAAATTTTGCATCTGAAAAGTACAGTAACTACAAGGAAAAATTAGACAAATTCAAAGGCAAATTTGAGAAAGCAAAATACAGAACTTTATGATAGGTCAGTGGAAATTATTGAGCCTGAGGAGCAGAATGAAAAAAACAATTTGAAGAAAATCGAACAGATCCTAAAGAACCTATGGGACACCATCAAGCTGACTAACATATGGATTGTGGAATTGCTTAGGAGGAGAAGATAGAAAAAAGAAAGGCACAGAGAGACTATCTGAAAATGTAAACACTGAAAACTTCCTAGATTTGATGAAAGACATTAATAAAAACATCCAAGAGACGCAACATATGACAACTAACATGAACTCAAAGAGACACACACCGAGTCACATTATAATCAAACTTCTGAAAGACAAAGACATTCTTGAAGGCAGCAAGAGAGAAGTGACATGTCACATACAAGAAATCCTTTAAAATATTATAAGCAAATTTTTTTACCAGAAACTTTGGAGGCCAGAAGGTAGTGGGCCAACATGTTCGAAGCGCAAATAATAAAACCATCAATCAAGAATATCCTACGTTCAACAAAATCATCATTTGAAAGTAAGGTAGAGATTACGACTTTCTCAGATAAACAAAAGCTGAAGCAGTTCATTACTACTAGACCTGTCTTGAAAGAAATACTCAAGCGGGTTTTACAGAATGAAATGAAAGGAGAAAAAGGACAGTGGTATAGCCAAAAAGTAATCTCTGTCTTGGAAATATAAAAGCACTTATAGCACTACATGAAGAACAGTAATTAATCGCACTACGCAAAGAACAGTAATGATTAAATGAGACAACTCAAAGCACTTACAGCATGCCATAAAGTACTTTACTATTACATCATGACAATCTTTTTTGTTTGTTTTTGTTTTTGAGAGGGAGCTTTGCTCTTGTTGCCCAGGCTGGAGTGCAATGGCACGATCTTGGCTCATTGCAACTTCTGCCTCCCAGGTTCAAGCGATTACCCTGCCTCAGCCTCCCGAGTAGCTGGGATTATAGGGGCCCACCGCCATGCATGGCTAATTTTTGTATTTTTAGTAGAGACGGGATTTCACCATGGTGGCCAGGCTGGTCTCAAACTCCTGACCTCATGATCTTCCCGCCTCGGCCTCCCAAAGTGCTGGGATTACAGGCATGAGCCACTGCGCCTGGCCCATGACAATCTCTTTTACCTCTCTATTTAACTATTTACCATTTCATATTGTTGGCATCATGACAATTTTCATAATTAGATTTAATTACCTAATAATATATTGTAAGAATATCTACAGATTTATAAATATATATAAGAATATTACTTAAAGAGACTTTACTTTTTAGAAGAGTTTTAGGTTCATAACATAATTTTGTGGCTCTATAAAAGTCATGTGTAAAAAAAATTTTATCTATTTATATAATTCAGACCCTTAAAGTAGCAAATTACAGCTCATTACTTTTTTTCTCCATCATAAACAATCATATAATAAATATTCTAAAACAAGTATTTCTGTGATTTTCCCTTTTTTTCATAGAATACATACATACGGTATGCCTTGGTCAAAAGTTTTGGCATTAAATTTGTTTTGAATTTTTTGTCAAATATTCTTTCATAAATCAATCTATACTTACACTTATAGTATCATCCTTTTTTATCCCTCTAAATTGGTTGCTGAAAATTGGTAAGTTGGATATGCTTTTGTATATTTATGGGTCACTGGTATCTCTTTTTGGTAGCTTTCTTTTGGGGTGCTTCATGCATTCATTTTAACTGTGAAAGATATTTAACATATAAATACAATTATACTGAAAGTTTAGATCTTGTACTATTTGTTAACTATAAGTCATTGATCATCATTTTGAAGATTTTTCATAAAGTTGAAGAGAGACAAATTAATATTCATTTGTACATATTTAATCATCATTTAGTGCATAGAGTTACTTTTAACATATATGATAAAATTTTTAATGTAATGATTCTACTTAATAAGCATTTATTTTTTAAATATCTAAATATATATTTCCAGCTTTGTAGAAAGAAAAGTAGTCACAATTTTACAAGAATTCAGATTCAGTCAACACTGGGAGAATGCTTGTCTTTGACTTCAGTGGGAACTTTAATAAAACACACTAGAAATCAGAAATGGCATGTTTATAAAGCTGATACTCTTACATTTCTACAAAGGAAGTGGAGTTTTGTGTGCTTTTTTTTTTTTTTTCAACAGAGTCTTGCTCTGTTGCCAGGCTGGAGTGCAGTGGCTCGATCTCGGCTCACTGCAGTCTCCAACAATTCTCCTGCATCAGCCTCCTGAGTATCTGGGACTAGAGGTGCACGCCACAATGCCCAGCTAATTTTTGTATTTTTAGTAGAAGCAGGGTTTCACCATGTTGGTCAGGATGCTTTCGATCTCTTGACTTCGTGAACCGCCCGCCTCCAGTGAAAATATTCATGACTCTAGAGAAGAGAAAGGTCAGTGGTATAGCCAAGAAACAATTTCCGTCTTGTAAATATAAATAAATATAATGAATATTTCAAAGAATCGACAAGCAAGACAGAAACGAAATCCCAGTTTGTACAAATTAAAATGTTGATGCCTGAAGTGATACAACTAGAGACATCACCACATTACTATTTGAAAAAAAAAGTATTTTTTTCAAAGCAAAAATTATTCAGCAGAAATTTAATTTCAAGAAATATTTCAAATAACCCTCTGAGAAAAACAAGAGTTTGATTACTTAAGTCATGCCAATAATTAGTTTAATTAATCATCCCAATTTATTTGGTTAAACCTGAATTGTTCTTTTCTGTGAATTTTATTTTAAATTATACCTTAAGATTGACTGTCAAACTCATTTTATGGACTGATCTAAAAATATGTATTTAATATAGAAGTAGTGTATCTCTTCTACATTTTTAGTGAATACTTTTGTTTTCAATTTAAAAAACTATAATCACTTTTTCTTATGCTATTTTTGCTTTTATAAATTATCACATCTTCTTCCAATAAGTCTCACAATTGGCATAGTCATTTGTTAACTTCTGGAATTTAGTGAGTCTTGGAAATTAAAACATATGATATAAGTGAAACGGATGAGTCAATAAAATCCTATCAAAACCATCGGGCTTATTGATTATCTCTCTAGATAAGAAAGGTGGATTAATTCCTACCTACATGTGCCTTCACTTGTCTACTGGGGTTCCATGGTGCACTAGTCCATGGACTAGTACGTGTCATACAATAAACTTCTTCACCTTTATGAAAATGTTCTAAATTTTTATTTTCCAGTGTGGTAGTCTCTAGACACACGGGACTATTGAGTGTTAGGAACACAGTTAGTGAGGCTGGGTGCCGTGACAAATGCCTATATTCCCAGCACTCCGGGAGACCAAGATGGGAGGACTGCTTGAGCCCAGGAGTTCGAGACCAGCCTGGGCATCATAGTGAGACCTCATCTCTACAAAAAAATTTAAAATAATAATAATAATAAAAACTAGCCAGGTGTTGTGATGTGTGCCTGTGGTCTCAGCTACTCAGGAGATTGAGGTGGGAGGTTCCTTTGAGCCCAGGAGGTCAAGGATGCACTGAGTGGAGGCACCACTGCAATCCAGCCTGGGCAACAGAGAGAAAGAGAGACCCTCTCTCAAAAAAAGAGGAAAAAAAAAAAAGAAAATGTGGCTAGTAAGACTGATCATCATATATATATATATAATATATATATAAAATATATATAATATATATATTATATATATATAAAATATATATAATATATATAATATATATAATATATATTATATATAAAATATATAATATATATAATATATATTATATATAAAATATATAATATATATATTAAATATATATATAAAGTATATATATATAAATTTCAGAGGTACATGTGCAGGCAGGTTTGTTACATAGATACACTTGGGCCATCAGGATTTGTTGTGCAGATTATTTCATCACCCATTTATTAAGCCTCGTAGCCATTACTTTTTTTTCCAGATCCTCTCCCTCCTCCCACCCTCTACCCTCTGAAAGTACCCACTGTGTGTTGTTCTCCTCTATGTGTCCATGTGTCCTCATCTTTTAGCTCCCACTTATAAGTGAGACCATGAGTATTTGGTTTTCTTTTCCTGTGTTAGTTTGCTAAGCATAATGGCCTATAGCTTCAATCATATTGCTTCAAAGGACATAATCTATCTTTGTTATGGCAGCATATTCTATGATGTATATACATCACATTTTCTTTATTCAGTCTACCATTGATGGACATTTAGGGTGATTCCATGTCTTTGTTACTGTAGAAAGTGCTGCAATGAACATATACATGCGTATGTCGTTATAAAAGAATGATTTTTATTCCTTTGGATGTACACCCAGTAATAGGATTGCTGGGTTGAATGATAGTTCTGTTTTTAGGTATCAGAGGAATCACCACACTGTTCTCCACGATGGTTGAAATAATTTACACTTCCACCGACAGTTTATAAGTGTCCTCTTTCTCTGCAACCTCACCAACACATTATTGTTTTACTTTTTAATAAATAAATAAAACACTGACTGGTGTGAGATGGTATCTCATGGTGGTTTTGATTTGCATTTCGTTAATGATCAGTGATGTTGAGCATTTTTTAATAGGATTGTTGCCCACATGTATGTCTTTTTCTGAAAAGTGTCTGTTCTGTTCATGTCCTTTGCCACTTTTTTTTTTTTTTTTTTTTTGAGACAGAGTCTTGCTCTGTCACCCAGAGTGGAGTGCAATGGCTCCACCTCGCTCACTGCAACTTTCGCCTCCCAGATTCACACCATTCTCCTGCCTCAGCCTCCTGAGTAGCTGGGACTACAGACGCCCACCACCACACCCGGCTAATTTTTTGTATTTTTAGTGGAGATGGGGTTTCACCATGTTAGCCAGGATGTTCTCGATCTCCTGATCTCGTGATCCACCTGCCTCGGCCTCCCAAAGTACTGGGATTACAAGTGTAAGCCACTGTGCCTGGCCGTATTGCCTATTTTTTAATGAGATTGTTTGATTTTTTTCTTGCAAATGTGTTTAAGTTCCTTATGGACACTGGATATTAGACTGTTATCAGAGGCTAGTTTACAAAAATTTTCTTCCATTCTGTCAGTTGTCCATCTGTTCATAGTTTCTTTTGCTATGCAGCAGCTCTTTAGTTTAATTAGATCCCATTTGTCAATTTTTGCTTAATGTGTTTAAGTTCCTTATGGATACTGGATATTAGACTGTTATCAGAGGCTAGTTTACAAATTTTTTTTCCATTCTGTCAGTTGTCCATTTGTTCATAGTTTCTTTTGCTACGCAGAAGCTCTTTAGTTTAATTAGATTGCATTTGTCAATTTTTGCTTCTGTTGTAATTGTTCCTGGAATGTTCATCATGAAATTTTTACTCATTTGTACGTCCAGTATGGTATTGCCTAGGTTGTCGTCCAGAGTTTTTATAGTTTTGGGTTTTACATTTAAGTCTTTAATCCATCTTGAGTTAATTTTTGTCTGTGATATAAAGAAGTGGTCCAGTTTCAATCTTTTGCATATGGCTTGCCAGTTATTCCAGCATCATTTGTTGAATAGGGAATCCTTTTTCCCATTGCTTGTTTTTGTCAGCTTTGTCAAAGAACAGATGTTTTTAGGTGTGTGGCCTTATTTCTGGGCTCTCTATTCTGTTCCATTAGTCTATATGACTGTTTTTGTACCAGTACCATGCTGTTTTGGTTACTGTAGCTCTACGGTATAGTTTGAAATCAGGTAATCTGATGCCTCCAGCTTTGTTCGTTTTGCCTAGGATCGGCTTGGTTATTCAGCTCATTTTTGTTCCATATGAATTTTAAAATAGGGGTTTTTTCCAGTTCTGTGAGGAATTTATTGGTTGTTTGATAGGAATAGCATTGAATCTACAAATTGTTTTAAGCAGTTTGGGCATTTTAACAATATTGATTCTTCCTATCATGAGCATAGAATGTTTTTCCATTTGTTTTTTTTGTTTTTCCATTTGATTTTTTGAGCAGTTTTTTAGCTCTCCTTATAGACATCTTTCATCTCCCTGGTTAGCTATATTCCTGGGTATTTCTTTCTTTCTGTGTTAATTGTGAATGGTATTGAATTCCTGATTTGTCTCTTGACTTGGCTGTTGTTGATGTATAGGAATGCTAGTAATTTTTGTGCATTGATTTTGTTGATAAACTAATTTTTAATTTTAATTTAATTTTAATTAATTTAAATTGAAATAGCCTATCTTAGGGTATCATAAAAACTGAGCCTGAGACAATGGTTTGCAAGAAGTTAGTTTGTTTGGTAATGTTATACCAGGGAGTGAGGATGAGGGAAAAGGAAAATGAGATGAAGAAGAAAAGGTTAATGGATGAATGCATTATCGAGTTGGCCACAGATTATAGCAATTCATGTTCAGTTCTTCAGGACTTCTGAGGAGCTTTGTGACATATATTTCAAAACTGTCCAGTCAGAAGATTAAAGGGACAAGCATTTGTCCTTTGCTCTTATTCCCCATTGATCCAGAAATTCACAAGCATTGACTTCTCCACAGTTTGAAGTTTTGTGTGCGTAAGGGCTAAGTGGGTTTACCGGGCACGTCTCTCTCAGGTGCATAAGAAAACTACATAATAAGAAGGAAAGTGATGGATATGGGCCCCAGATGAGGTGCTTTTATGAAGTTGGTACAAGCCTATGAGGACCTGGTCACCACAGCACTGGACTGACAGGAGCTAGAGAGCTAGCTGAAAAGATTCCTATGCAAAATTATAAATGTTTTAAGTAAGCGCATAAAGCAGGAATGGTCTCTGACCTTGTAGAAATTATAATAAAGTGAAGTAGATAAAAAAATAAGAACATAATTAGAAATTTTGATGAGTGTTGTTGAGGGAATAAACAAGGTATATGGATAGAGCACAGTATAAAGAGAGCTAATTCTGCAGAGTGATTAGTGAAAGCCTCTCTTAAAAAGATGCTGTTAAAGCTGAAACATGTTGGATGAGGAGGAAGCCACAGAGAAAAAGCTGTGCAATCAATCAGGAAAAATATGAAGAAAATCACATTTTTAAAATATTCCCTTTTTAGTGTTTTTCCAAAAAGAAATCCTCAACCCACTCAACAAATGGAAAATGAGTCATGATAGCCAACCTATCAACTTAACTAATAGTGTCACCAAAAAGAATGATGCTTTGTAGATTTATACAGTTGTTAAATCTAGACTCATATTCTGCTTTTCAATGGTAGGCAATAACAGGCAACTTCCTTTTCTCTAAATGAAAATATATAAACCTATCACTGAAAAATAAAAAGTAGTTGAAGCCATAATTTTTGCTTTCAACATTGGTAACAGCAAGTGTGTTTAAAATAGTAAATTGTTCACTGGAAAACAACAACAAAACATAAAAGAAGAGAAAAAAAGACATTTTAAAGAAAAACAGTCAATAAATTTACCTGTATATTAGAGAAATCAAACTGGAGGGGTCGCTTTTGATCACTGATGCATGGAAATTTGACAGATTTCAAAATACAATCTGACAGCACTGAAACAACATTACTAAATTTTGGTGACTAAATTAATTTCATTCTCCTTAGGAGTGTAGATTAACTTTATTTTCTAATATCTTAGTGTGGGAAATTTAGTGCACTTACTTGAGGAAATTAAAGCAAAGGTAGAAAACAGAATGTTTGAGCCAAGCCAATTAACCGCCACTTGCTAAGTAATAAATCATAGATTTAGACTTCAATTTTTTAAAATATGTTTTATGGGACCCCAGGTTCTTCCCAGTGAACCTCAAACCCTTAGAATATTTTACTTTGCAGGAAGAGTTGTCTTTAACTGTTTGCATACAATTACTTACTTAACATTCAAATTTCAATCAAATGTATTCTTCCAACTGTAATGTGCACTCTCAGTTTTATTCTACAGTGGTCACCTTTTAGCAAATATAATTACTATGGAAAAGTATGGTTATTTATTTATATAATCCTCACAACTTCATTTAGTAGACACCAGTTTTACAGAAGAGTGAATATGAGGCTTAGAGATGCCAAGAAATCTCTCTACCTTGTTTTCTTGTGTCCTTTAGAGACTATAACAGTGTCTGACACAAAACAAGAGCTTAAAAAGAGTTGTTGTCAGTAACTTGCTGACTAACCAACTCACTTTTATGTGTTATTTTGTAAATTTTAAAGAGAAACTCTTGGCTTTAGCTCCCTCCCACACTACACCCCAAACAGAATCTATATCTTTAGTATTCTTCACCTTCTAATAGTTTAGTCATGCCCTGAATAAACATTGATTTCTTCAAACCAAAAACTTCCAAAGCATTCTTCAATATTTCCTATTTTTGTGCCTTATATCTAATCTATCGTGTCTTCAGTAGTTTCTTCTTCTAAATTATATTTAAAATCTGTTTCTTCTCCAACTCTATTGCCACCACTGTCCAAGCCAGCATATTTAATCTCAAACAGCATTAATAATCTTTCATGATCACATCCTTCAAAGTCCACTCTTGTCAATACTCCAAACATCTACCAGGCTATTCTTTCATAAAACAGTGAAAAGATCTTGAAAATTTCCATAACTTATAATTAAATTTTTACTATAGCCAGCTAATTTTCAGTTGGTATCCAAGAATAATTTCAACTTAATGTAATCATCTTCCAGGTCCTTTCTGCTCACTGCACAGACAAAATCAATCCACTAAGATCACAGTGTTGTAGTAGAGAAAGAATTTAACTGATGCAAGGCCAGTCCCCAAGGGAAAACTGGAGTTATTACTCAAATCAGTCTTCCCAAAGGCTCCAAAGTTAGGAGTTTTTATGTACACTCGGGAAAGCAGGGGACTAGGGAATGGGTACTGCTACTTGGTTGAAGATGAAATCATGGAGGTGTGGAAAACCATTTGCATCTGCCTCTGAGTGTGGCCACGGGATCAGTTGAGTCCTGAGTCAGGAGTCTGGGTGAGGTCACTCTAAAAAATATCTCGCACAAAAAATCTTGGGTTCTACAGTAGTGATGTTATCCATAAAAGCAATTGGGAAGGTCACAAATCTTGTGACCTCTGGCCACATGGCCCCTGAGCAGTAAGGAACTATAGAAACTACATGTATCTCATAATGTCTCTTCAGTCTTACAAAGCACTTTCAGCTGCAGGAAGAGGGAGGGAATTAGTTTTTGATAGGGATTATTATTATTGTTGTTTCAAAGTTAACCTATAAACTAAATTTCTCCCCAAGTTAGCTTGGCCTATTTATAGGAATAACCAAGGACAGCTTGGAGGTCAGAAGCAAGCTAGGGTCAACTCTGTCAGATTTCTCTTACTGTCATAATTTTGCAAGGGCAATTTCATTAGCATGTTTAAAATGTAACACAGAACATTACCCCCAAATCAGTTCAAGCCTTTATTCTTACCTTTTCTGTAATATCTACTTAGATCATAATAAAAATTATAATTCATTCTCCATAGAGCTACTCCCTCTTTCCCTTCATGGTTTTAGTTCTCTCCGAAGCATTGATCACCTATCAATATACTAAGTGTTGTTCTTATCTTTTGCATTTACTGTCAGTTTTCTCTCATGTAAAACGTAAACTCCATAGAGAATATTCCCAAATGCCTAGAATAGTTCCTGGCACATAATAGGTTCTCAATAAACATTAATTGAATAATTGGGTAGATTAATCAATCATTCATGATTGGTCTACAAGACGCTGCAATATTTTTTGCACTTTTTCTCTCTCCAACCTAATCTCGTGACACTGTCATTTTTATTTTCTATAGTCACCCTGTGTGTTTCCTGTGCCTAAAATATTCTTCTCCGTGCTTCCTCACGTGGATTTTTTCATCCCTTAGGACTCAATTTAGAACTCCCCACCTCAGAGAAATATTCTTATCCTATCCCATTTAAAGTAACTTTTTATTCAGCAACATTAACAATTTCTAGGCAACATTCAACCAGTGCCTTTCACAGCACATTTAAATCTCTAGGTTTTTGTTGTTGTTGTTCCTGTAACTAATTCTTATTTCTTTAATAAAATATGTGCTCCTTATGGGTATAGCTATATTGTTTGTCATTTTATCCCCCATAATCAACCAAGTGCCTGAAGCACAACTGCAATGAAATTGTTGGGAAAAGACAAATGGGACTTTAACATTTCATTCCATTATCTCTATATCATGGTGATGCAGGAATTTTTCTCTACCCCTGGGTTGGACTTACAACAGGGGATTGTAACAGCTGCATTCAACCTCTTATGGGAAGGAGAGAGTGAGCAAGTGAGCATGGGATCTGGCTGGCCATTTTGGGCACTGGCAAGAGCAGGCTCTGTGCGGACTCCATGGTGGAGCCCAAGTGGGGGTGCCTGTGACCCCCGAAGCCCCAGAGTGTGTGTTACAATGCTCTCTTAGCTCCACCATCCATGGACAGCAATATGCTATCAGCTCAGTGGGTACCTTGCCTTGTCAGGTGGGGCAGCTGCCCTCTGACAGTGATGGCAAAGGGGCAGGTGTAACAGCCTTTTTTGGGTACCCATGCTCAGTGGGTCCCAAGCTCTTGTCCGGGATCTAAGAGGAATGAGGTCACATGGACAGTTGAAGTATGGTGGAGGTGGAGAATTTTATTTAGCAATGAAAATGGCTCTCAGCAGAGAGGGGAGCTGGAGGGGTGGAAGGACAGGTGGATAATCTTCCCTGAAGTCCAGCTATATCTGGCCAGTTCTTCTCCAAAGTTAAGCCATCTCTCCTCTAAAGTCCAGCCGTCCCCCTCAAATCAAGTTGATTCTTTCCAGTCAAGCTGCTTCCCCCTCTCTACTGACTGAGTCTGGGGTCGTTACAGGCACAGGGTGGGGGCTGCTGGTGGTGCATAGATACTTTTGGAAAAGGCAACATTAGATTTGTGAAAAGACATTATTTAGAAAGAACCAGTTGGGAGAGAGCCAGCAAACAGGGATAGAAATTCTCACTTTGGGCCATGGGTTTCAGTCTTTTCAGCTTGAAGGTGGGGTTTTGCTGGAGACCCACCCATGTCCACCTAGAATTTCTCTGGCTTCTGCCTCTATCAATGGGATTATGGAAGGCATTTTAATATTTTTGAATCTGTATTACCTGTACTTAACACGTTACTTACTTACCAAAAGATTTACACACTTGCAAAGATATTATGACATTGATTATTATAATTAATATATCCTTTACTGGGTCTTTTTTACTCTTTGTGTTTGGAAAATAAGTTTCTAAGCAGGTAGATCCTAGTATACTGGGCTAGATTCACTCCCAAGCAGAAAACCAACTGTATGATGTGGACTAACAAAGTTCTTACCAGACCTCATTTCTAGAGGTCTTGTATCTTTTGTCTTTCTAGACTCTACTGGTTGATGACATTTTAAAAACAACGGTTTATATTTTCTGTTTCCCACTGATTTACTTCATTTGCAACTTTTTTTCCCCAAACAATTCCATACTTTGCTTTGGCAAAGAAGCTGCACTTTCTGATATGCCTTAAGATTCCCAGGGCTGTTTCACATTCCCAAGGGGTTTGGCAGAGTCCTTACAGGAGGACTGCTCCTTTTCCTCTTCCTCCTCCTTATCTCCTTTTATCTTAAGGTTTACTATCTGGGGTCCTTTGGTGATGGCAAGGAGACAACTCATTCACCACTGTTTTGATATATGAAGTGACTATCTCTTTGCAGAACACAATTCATTTGCAAGAAAAAATTCATTGTTCTGAGCAAGCCTCATTTCTCTCTTCAGTGACCTCCTTTGTAAATCTCATCAGTATTTTCACCATTCTTTGCAAGTGTTCTTCATGATTCAATATAAATTCTTATTGTTTCGCTCTTTCAGTAGTTCTCATGAAATCACATTCTTTAAGTACCGTGTCTAGTTCTCTTTCCACAATCTATTTTCTTCTTGTGTCCTGACTGACATGCTTACTTATCTCTCAGGCATATTTATTTGGAGGGCTCACTTCCACTTTGAATCACATATGACAAAAACACAATTCCCATTCAATTTAATTTCAGTGCAAAAGTACACAAAGAAAAAGCAGTAAAAGGCACATCTTCAGCACTTTACTGACTTTGCTACTATGTGAATAAACACTTATACATATGAGTTAAAAATATAAAATATGTATTGAAATGATTATATTAAAATGATTATATTGAAAACATGAGAGTATTAACATTGAGTTCATTTTATATGCAAAGGAAAATTTTAGATGCGTATTTTTGTGTTGTTTTTCAAAAATAAAATGTTCCAGTTATGATGTTTTTGGCATGCAAAATGAATCAAGAACCCTCTATCAACATGCAGTTAGAATTAACAGGTCCAAGTAGTGATAGACTTTTCCTAAGTGTTAAGTTTACTAAAATAATTAAACTATATTTTATAAGTCTAACTAGTATTTATAGTGCAGTAGGAGAACATTTAAAATAGAGACAAAATACTTGAATTCTAATTCATTTGCTTATTCAATACATTTGTTGTGGTTGATTGGCTTTTTAAAATTTTTTTGTTTTTAACTCAGTGTTCTCAGACACTATTTTAGTTACTAAAGATGCAAACTTCAACCTTCTTGCAAGATTCAACATCCTTGGCCTCAATTACTACTTTTTGATTCAAATTTATTGTATTTGTCTCCAATAAGATTCATACACAAGGTATCAGGCAAAGATTTGATATGTCAAGAACTTTGCAAGGTCTGATATTTTACTAGGATTTAACCTGACAAATTAGTTGGAAAGTTTCATAGATACTGTGAGAAGGTATGAGATTCTTAGGTTCAAGGAAAAACACTTTTCTATTTATGGCACACCAGGCAGCATGAAGTTTATGTTTGCATTGTTTTCCCTTGACTCCATAGTCCGCAGGTCTTGATATAGGTGGATACTGCACCCTGGGTGTGTTTGTGTCACAGTTGAGAAATCCAGAGAACATGACGTTCCCAATCTTCTAACCATGGCGCTAGCAAATTTAGCTGACCTTTCCCTGGAAGGAGACATTATCTTTATTATTCTGGTGTGGAAACACATCTGCCATTTCCCTCAGAGGGGATGTTATTTGCCATTTGCTATACAAATATCCTTGAAAACATAGTCCAGAACATAGACTGATAGAAGACTTGCAGAAGTAGATAAAAAGCATTGTTTTCATTATAAAGATACACTTCCTGTAGCCAACGAGCTCACAGTGTAGTGATGTGAAAGACGTAAAAACGAATAGAAGCTCATGATCATGTGTTTTCCCACGTTTCATGTGACTTTAAATTTTGTACTTTCTGAAAATTAAGACAGTATTTCTGTATTCAAAACTACCTCTATCTTTATAGTTTCTTCCTTTGAGGTTATTTCTAGGTGTTTCTCTGCATTGTAGGAGTTTTAAAAGTTTTTAGATATATAATTTGTTTTATATTTAGAAAAGTCATAAAAATATGTATATAACTTGTGAATTTCAACTGGAAAATAAATTCATTCAGAGAATAGAAACAAAACCAGGAAGGGGGACAGCAGTTCTATTTGTAAAACTTGTAATTAAAAATTAATGTCAGCATGTAGGTGAACTGTATATTCAAAAATACAGTAACCTAATGAGTCATTCTCTGATACATAATGAACATTAGCAAAGATAATATAAGACCTTAAAAAGGCCTGTACATAACAAGTTAGAGAATATCTAGAAAACATATTGAATGGGGAGAGAGCTATGTATTTGTTACATTTTAATTAAATCTTTAATCAAAACAAAGATAAATGATCAGGTATGTGGCTTTCAAAATTTTTAAAGGCATGTGAAGGAGATTAGAATGTGACACCTGAAAATATGCTACTCTAGCAAATTGACTATTTTGAGTTAAAGCCATTTGAAAAACAGCAGATGTAAGAAGAGTACTCTGATCCTCTTTCTTTTAAAATAAGAAATACAATTTCCATATGAAAGCTTCCTTTTCTATGCCAGGAGGATAAAAGAAAAAATTCTTACCAGTCTGACGCAGTGGCTCACACCTGTAATCCCAGCACTTTGAGAGGCTGAGGCAGGTGGATCACCTGAGGTCAGGAGTTGGAGACCAGCCTGGCCAACATGGATAAACCCAGTCTCTACTACAGAGGAATCTCTTGAACCTGGGAGGTAGAGGTTGCAGTGAGCTGAGATCACACCACTGCACTTCACCCTGAGTGACAGAGAGAGACTTGTCTCAGAAAAAAAGGAAAACAGGAAATATATATATATATATATATATATATATATATATATATATATATATATATATTTACCATAAAGGAATGGAGGTTAAAACTGAAAACTTTCTGTACAATCTTTTTTTCAAATAGTTGTCTTCATTGGTCTCCCCACATATTTTAGTTACATTCCCATACACACACACACACACACACACACACACACAAATTACTTCACATTGGTCAACTTAGAATTTAAAAAAAAATAGTTCTTACTACTGCTTTGGGTGTTTACTTATTTACCAAGGCTCCCAGATTATCTAAAACTTTCATTAAATAAATTTGAATGGTTTCTGTCTGTGAATCTATCTTATACCAAGTTGATTCTCAGGCCCAGCTAGGGCTTAAGAGAGTAATTAGAAAGTTTTGCTTACTCTACACATGTGTTCTTTTATCTTTAGATTTAATAAGGGAGAAATAAAACAATAAAAATAATTTAGGTTTGCTTGTTTTTGTTCTTTTAATATTTACTTTGGCATAAATATTTGGCTAATGTACTTAACTTAGTATACCCAATAATACATAATGATCTTTCTTAGTACCAGTGAGATATATTATTTTTCTTAATATCTGATGCTACAATCTTATAACTTGAACTTAGGTGAAAAAAATGAAAGAAATATACTAATAAAGAAGATTGATGCATCAAAATATAAAAACTATTCCTGGTAGCCAGGAAGTGACTTCTAACCTTTCAGTACTATAATATGTATGTGTGTATTTACACACATATTTGTTATTTCTGTTGTTGTTTTGAAACAGAGTCTTACTCTGTCACCAAAGCTGCAGTGCAGTGGCGCAATCACAGCTCATTGCAGCCTCGACTTTCCAGGTTCATGTATACCTGCCACCTCAACCTCCTGAGTAGCTAGAACAACAGGCAGGCACACACCACCACACACAGCTAATTTTTTCTATTTTTTGTAGAGATGGAATTTTGCCGTGTTGCCCAGGCTGGTCTTAAACTCGCGGGCTGAAGGGATCTGCCTGTCTAGGCCTCCCAAAATGCTGGGATTACGGGTGTGAGACACTGCACTCAGACTCCAAGTATAATTTTTAAAACACTTTGATCTCATGTAACATAATAAAAAGATTCAAATAGGTAACTTTGGGAAAAAGTCAGAAATATTTCTAAGCAATTACTTTCTAATAGGATTATAATTATTTGTGGCTGTTTATTTTGAAAAATTTCAAATATAAAGAATTTGAGAGAATAATGTAATGGGCTCCCATTTACTCATCAATGACACTAGCTTTATCTGTATACCTAATGACTTCCCTCCTGATTTACTTTATAATAAATACCACACATAATTTCATCTATATATATTTCATAAGCATAATTTTAATGTGTTCTTTTAATTGAAAAACTTTACAATTTTAAAAGTTAAAAAAAGGAAACAGGATGAATGTAGTTAAGATTGTCCAAAATCAAGTATTCCTTAAAATTATATTATAAATATTAATCAGAAAATGCATCTGTGAACACATTGGATTTTTCATTACACTATAAGCAAATAAATACTTGCTAAGCCAACAGATATCACAGAATTTGAAAAGTATTTAAGGGAAAAAACATACAAACAATAGAATAGCTTGAACTAGTGGTCTAGACTACCTACCCAATGGGACTTTTTGTTATATGCCATTTCATAATTAATCGAAATGGTATATAATTCTAGATGGGGCCACAAGATCAATTGAATCATGAGTCAGAAGTCCAGGTGTATTCACTCTGGAAAACATCTCAAAAACACAATCTTAGGTTCTACAATAACGATGTTATTTATAGAAGCAGCTGGAATGGTCACACATCTTGTGACCTCTGGCCACATAACCCCTGAGGAGTAAGGGATTACAGAAACTACTCAGTTTGGTTTTGGGAAGCACTACTATCATCCTTGTTTTAAGATTAAACTATAAGCTAAATTCCTCCCAAAGTTTGCTTGGCCTACTACGCCCAGGAATGACCAAGGATGGTTTAGAGGTCAGAAGCATGATGGAGTCAACTATGTCAGACTTATCTCACTGTCATAATTTGTCAAAGGGATTTTTTTCTTTCTTTTTATTTATTATTATTTATTTTATTTTATTTTTTTGAGACAAACTCACTCTTGTCCAGGCTGGAGTGCAGTGGTGTGACCTCAGCTCACTGCAGCCTTCACCTCCCGGATTCAAGTGATTCTCCTGTCTCAGCCTCCCAAGTAGCTGGGATTACAGGCACGCACCACCACGTCCAGTTAATTTTTGTATTTTTAGTAGAGACGGGGTTTCACCACGTTGGCCAGACTGGTCTCGAACTCCTGACGTCAAGTGATCCACCCTCCTCAGCCTCCCAAAGGGTTGGGATTACAAGTGTGAGCCACTGCGCCTGGCCTGCAAAAGCATTTTCAGTAGCTATCCAGATACTTCCTTTGGCTTAGGACATTTTCCTAGGCTGATAATTCAACCTTCTGTGAAATGTAGTAGTCTTAGGAAGACCATTCCAAAAGACAAAGGGTTGCAACTGCTGAAAGTACTATTGCTTACACTCTGTAAAGCATGATTTTTCATTTAGATAAATTAATTTTATGCATCTAAAAAATATAGAACATAGTTTCCTTTTGTCAAGTACTCAATAAGGAGTTGGTTACTTCTGTGATAGCCCGTTAGCAGAACATAGCAAATAATTAAATGATGCCAGTTTTATAGATCAATGATATCAGATCTTCAAGTAGAAAATTTATTATTTTGTGTGGTTTTATTTCTAGGCTTTCTATTCTTTTCCATTGATGAGTATGTCTATCTTCATGCCAGTGCTGTGCTGTTTTAATTCCTATATCTTTGTTTTATATTTTGAAATCAGGAAGTATGCTGCCTCTATTTGCTGTCTTCTTTGGTTCCATGTAAAATTTAGAATTGTTTTTTCTATTTCTGTAAAAAAAAGTCAACAGAATTTTGATAAAAATTGCATTGAATCTATGGATGACTTTGGGCAGTATGGTTATTTTAACAATATTAAGTCTTCCAATCCATGAACATAAAATGTCTTTCCATTTTTTGTGTGTCTTCTGTAATTTTTTTCATCAATGTTTTGTAGTTTTCGGTGTAAAAGTCTTTCACTTTTTTAGTTAAGTTTATTCCCAAGTATTTTATTCTTCTTAGTGCTATTATAAATAAAATTGTTTTCTTATTTTCCTTTTAATTATGCTCTATTATAATACATATAACATCATGTCATCTGTAAACAGGGACAATTTTATTTTCTGCTTTCTGATTTGGATGACTTTTATGTCTTTTTCCTAATTCACAGATCAGAATGTCCAATACCATGTTTAATAGAAGTGGAAAAGTGGACATCCTTGCCTTATTCCTGGTCTTACTGAAAAAGCTTTCAGTTTTTAACGGTAAAAACTGAAACATTTTTCACAAACTATGATGAACGTTAAGTATGTTAAATATAATGTTAGTTATGGGCTTTTCATATAAAGCCTTTATTATGTTGAGGTAATTTTTCATATTCCTTATTTGTTGGGAGTTTTTGTCAAATGCTTAATTTTAATAAGCATTAAAATTATTAATGCTTGTTAATAATTTTAAATGCTTTTTCTGCATCTATTGAGGCAATCTGTTAATGCTGTATATCACATTTATACATTTGGTTATGTTGAACCACATTTGCATCTTAGGGATAAAACATGCCTGGACATTATTGCTGGACATTATGTAAGATCATTTTAATGTACAGATGAATTTGGTTGCTAGTACTTTGTTGGATTTTTGCATCTATGTTCATCAGGATTATTGGCCTGTAATTTTATGTTCTTCTGGTGTCTTCATCTGGTTTTGGTATCAGGGTGGTCCTGGCCTCCTAAAATGAATGTGGAAATGTTTCTTTCTCTTCATGTTTTTGAAAAAAATTGAGAGGGTATGACATTATTTCTTTTTTAAATGTTTGACAGAATTCACCAGTAAAGCCATCTGATCTTAGACTTTTACTTATTGGGATGTTTTTCATTACTGATTCAATCTCCATACTCATTACAAGCCTCTTCAGACTTTCTATTTCTCCATGATTTAGCCTTTGTAGGTCGTTGAATTCTAGGAAGTTTTTCATTTCCTCTAGATTTTCTAGTTTTTATTGTTAGATAATTATTCATATTTGTCTCTCAAGATCCTCTTTATTTCTGTGGCACTAACTGTGATGCCTCCTCTTTCATGTCTGATTTTATTCATTTGAGTCTTCTCTTTTAGTCTAGCTAAAGTTTTGTCAATTTTATTTATTTTAAAAATTGACTCTTAATTATGAGTTTTGTTGATTTTTCCTATTGTTTCTGTAGTCTCTATTTTATTTATTTATGCTCCCATCTTTATTATTTGATTCCCTCTGATATCTTTGCATTTAGTTTGTTCTCTTTTTCTACTTCCTTGAGATACAAAGTTAGGTTGTTTATTTGAAATATTTCTTCATTTTAGTATAGATATTTATTGCCAAAATTGTTATGCTTAGTACTGCTTTTGCTGCATCCCATAAGTTTTAACATATTGAGTTTTAATTTTTGTTTCTCAAAATATTTTATGATTTCCCTTTTGATTTCTTCTTTGCCACAGAGATTGTTCAAATATATGTTGTATAATTTTCACATATTTGTGAATTCTTCAGTTTTTCTTCTGCTGTTGGTTTTTAGTTTTATTCCATTGTGATTAGAAGACACTTGGTATGTTTCAACCTTCTTACATTTGTTAAGACTTGTTTTGTAACTTAATATGTGATTTATCTTGGAGAATATATATTTCACCATTGTTGGCTTGAATGTTTTGAATAGGTCTGCTAGGTACCTGTAATCTATAGTTATTCAAGTCTACTGTTTTTTAGGTAATCTTCTGTCTCTTTGTTCTACCTATTATTGAAAGTGAGATATTGAAGTCTACTATTATTGCTATGTTAAGTCAAGCCAGTCACAGAAGGAAAAATACGTTATTACCCCACTTATATAAGTTACCTAAAATAGTCAAACTCATAGATGCAAAGAATAGAATGGTGGTTACCAGGGGCTGGAGGAGGGACAAAGGGGTATTTACTAATCAATGGGTATAAAATTTCAATTACTCTAGCTGACTAAGTTATAAGAATCCTCTGTACAACATCATGCCTATAGATAACTATATTGTACTGCACAATTAAAATCTGTTAAGAGGCCAAATCTCATGTTAATTGTTTTTACATGATAAGATTAAAACACATACACACACACCAAAAATAATATTGGCCATCTCTAGGTCACATTGAATCTTCTCAGTTGCCAGGTTTTGTCCAGCTTTGTGCTGGCCAAATTTGCAACATTACAATAACAATTTGTAGGTAATATGTTCCCTGTAATCATGACTATTTTTTATTAAGCACTTTTTACTGATACTCGGGGATATTATATTGCTTTTGATTCACCATTGTTAAATTACACTAAATTTGGCCTAAGCCTGCTTTTGTATTTTCATTGCCTGCCTATCAAACTGTAACCTAACATAGTATGCAAACAAACTCCACGCTAACCAAGGAGCACATTCTTTGAACAACTAGCTGGGCCTAAGCCAATCACAGCAACCAAACTTCTGCCGATCACAGGCTCCCAACTTATGAGACCATGTCCATATAAGGAAAGGGCCCAGCTGTAATCAATCAAGCTGTTTTTGTGTGTTTCTTTCTTTTTCTATCTATAAATATGACCTGCTCACATTAGTGGGTCGAGCGCTCTGAACTTCAGCTGGTTCAAGCTTCTACCTAATTCATGAATCATTCTGGGATCACATAAACTCTACTAAATTTATTTATCTAAAGTCTTGTAACAGTTTGGTGTGTCAGTATTTAGATCCAATGTAGACCTCCATCAACCCTAGGAGCATCAAGTGACCAAGCAAAGGTAACCTCCAGGGATCATTGTGTCCATTAATCTCTTACAGCAATTAGGGTTATGGGTGAGTTCTCTCTCATATTAGAGCTTCCCAATTTTGTGTGTTAGGCTCTCCAGCTTTTCACGACTGAGTCTACTTAATTATCAGATCCAATCTGGATGTTTTCATCAATTAGTAAGTTTTGTAGTATTGTACTGGACACATGTTTTTTTAATATGTCTGTCTATGTCTGAATGTATGGTGTTTATGTGTGATTTCAAAAATCTTATTATATTGTCAAGTTACATTGTTAAAGAGCTTTATTTAATTGGCTTTAAAAATAGATACACTAATTGTTCTTTCAGAAAAATAATTACTAACCCAAATTCTTTTTAAGTTCACATGACTTAGGTGATCTTTGATCAATAAAAATATTGTTGGTGTAATGCAAGCAGGCATGTCATCAGAGTTGTCAGCATTAAGTATGATGCAGACCAATAAGTTGTATCTTTATTAGATGTTTAAAATAATAAAACTATAATTTCAAGTTAAGAACAAATGGGCAAGCTGAAGTATAATATCCATTATTTCATATATATCAAGGACAGCAACTAAACATGAAAAAAATCTTGTTTCTAGCTCTTTAGGTTCATTACTTTTGTGATGACTATATAAGATGCATATGCAGTAAAAGTAATTAGCAAGGAAATAACTTGGGTGCCATGCTTTGTTTTGGGTTATGACACGTGTACTTAAAAATAGCCTTACAAATCTCTTTGGAAACTTACACCATTGGAGGTCTACTAAGTTAAATTAAATGATAGATATTCATTAAGCATCTAGATTATTTACAAATATAATGCCAAAACATTAATTGCTGAACAGGTTTATGTTTCTGTACTTCTGCCATATTGTTTTTAATATGGTATAGAGAAACTGAATATATTTGGGATTGTTAATAAACATGAGAACTTACACTTTGAGGAAACACATAATTCCAGAAATTATAAAAGTTCATTAATCTACAAAATCCTGATTCATAATTGCTAAGAATTAAGATTCTAATTAATATATAGTAATTAAAACTAGAAATAAAAAAGGAAACAACTTCTTAGATGAGAAACAGAAGACATGATTTTGGTAAGTGAAGCTTAAATCAAATATGTGTTTTTTAAGGGAAAAATAGTAATTTTTATCCTAGAGTATAATAGTTATTTCAAAATGAGAAAAAGCAAAAATATAAGACAGATAACCAAAAGGATAAAAGAAGATTATGGAAGTTTATGAAAGATGAATATTGTAAAAGAAACTTTATATGTGATCAACTTTAGAAGGGAATTATTAGTAAGTGTTTCTAAAACTTTAAGATTAACATCAAAAGTACACTCATGTAAAACTAGAATTTGGTCCTCTCTGTTAACAAAAAAGATTTTCTTAGGGTATTGAACTGCTCTTAATATGAAACTGTGGAAGGTTTTCCTTTACCTTTTGAGAAACTGGCCTAGGAAACAAAGATTTAGTATTTTACCAAGATATCTTGCACTTAATGTTGTCATTATTTGATTTTTTATCATTTAAGAAAAAACAAGTCTTCTCTATTAAAAAGTTAATTTTTTTTTTCCTAAAACTATGTTACTTACTGTATTTGCCTTTGAATTTTTTGGATTATCACTCTGGTTAAATACATAATTATTTTGTGAGAAAATAGGCTTGCTTATGGAATATTCCTGGAGAAAACTCCAGTGATAGAGGTGCTCATTTTACTGAACGAGCTGCAAAATAGTCAAGTATTTCAAACACAATCGCATCCAGGAATCTAACTGAATAAATTGGATTGGCCAAAGGTATTATCACTTGATGGCAATCAGATCCAATCCCACTGGGGAACACTAATTGACCCCTTACAAATAGTCATTGGAAGGCCTATGCCCCTAATAATAGAACTTCATGTATCTCACATTCATGAATTGTGACATGACTCAATATTGCCAGGCTTTAAAGCATGTTGCCCAGTTATATTTTCACCAGGTAAAAGCCCTTCATGACCCAACAACAATCTAACCATGTACAACCTAGAACCTGAAGATTGGGTCTTTGGAAATTATACCACAAAAAGACTGCTTTCGAAGTTTGTTGGAAGAGACCATACCAAGTTCTACCCACATGGCAGTATAACTTAAGGGTCTCGAGGCTTAGATCCACTTTTCTCAATCTAACAGAACCCCTTCAGAATCTTGGGACTGTAAACCCACTGAAGACCCCAAGGTAAAACTAACAAGAGTGGTTTTTCCTCAAAACCAGGTAACAGCCTAGACAGCTTTCCTAAGATTACAGATCAAGAATTCTGTCCTCTGCCATCATAAAATCTCTTTCCCCTGTCTTCTTTGCCTGTTTCTTTTCCGTTTATGTATGGCAAGATAATTAAGATTTCCTAATCAATAGCTTCCACAGGAAACGTAACTGAATGTTAGCTATATCATGATAAACTTAAATCCTTACATGCTATTAGAGATTATTTGGTTTATCCTGTAACAAATTTTACTGATATTCCAAGTGGAATGCGTGTTTTCTTCTATAGGATTACACTTTCTATAGATTACACTTTTAGTTTCAGGCATTCAGATGCAGTAGGAAAAACGTATAATGAGGGTTTTACAGTTAAATTATGCCAGAAATTAAAAAAGAAAGCAAAAAAAAAAAAAAAAGAGGATAATTGAAAATTTAGAGGCAAATGTATCACCTTATTCCTTTAATGGTCAGTAGCCTCCAACCAGGTAATCATATAATAATGGCGCCTCAGATAAATATTACTAGTGCTTCCCTGCTTGTGACCCCTAATGCACAAGGCATCTCCCAGGGACCTGTCTGTTGTGCCCCACTAGGATATACTTTATCTCTACAGGATTTAATGCTCAACGTGTTGGCAACTTCATGTACCCATAAGTGGAAAATTAGAGGCCAACGTGGATTAGAAATTCTAATAGTACCACTGTCACGCCAAAGCAAATTGGAAACTGAACACCTCTTAATTTGCACTATGGAATAAAAAGGAATTTGCCAGCAGGCATAAATTCCTGCAAATGGGCATATTTTGGGAGAATGCTCCTTCTCTGGCTAAATGTAAATAAGATTAGGATTAAAGATCTGTTTCAAACATTAGGTAATATACTGACTCCACTGCAAAAGCTACAGTTGCCCAGCAAACTTCTTTTGCTAAAATTGTTTTAGATCAAACAATTGCTTTAACCTGCCTGTTGGCTGAAGAGGAGGTGTGTGCCATAGCTAACACCTCCTACTGCACTTGGATAAATATGCCTGCTATGGTTAAAACTCAACAAGATACCTGGCTAAAACAAGTAGATTCCTCTTTTGGCTCATTTTTTATCTATTTGATTTTCATCAGTTTGGTTTACAGGAGCTCCTTCTAAAGAGTATACTTTAGTCTCCTAGTATTATTCGCCTAATAGCTATCATAATAGTGTACCTGGAATTTCATATCTTCTCAAGAGTCTTGAAAGTTCATATGCAGCCATCCCTTATACATCAAATTGTCTCACTACGGTTAGAAAAGTGAAACTGTGAAGAGAACGTAAAGAAACATTCAGCTGACTTATCAAGAATTGTGACTTCCATACTGAGACAAAGAAGTCAATTATGATGGTAACAGAGAGTGCTATCAATGCCCAGGATTTTGGTCATCCTTTCAATTTTGAAAGGGAAATGTTAAATTAAACTAAATTTAGTCTGAGGCTTCCTTGGTACTTTGTGTTCCTACATAACAAATTGCAACCTGAATTAGTATGTAAACAAACTGCAACCTAACTTAAGAATATATTTCTGTATCTGTATCTTCAGCCCATGGCAGACATCCAGCTGATCACACTGTGTCCACATAAGGCAAATGCTGAGCTGTAATCCATCAAGCTGTTTCCGTAAGTCATTTTCTTGTTCTGTCTGCAAATACTGCCTGACCACATTGCTTGATGTGGTTTTGTGAAACTCTTTTGGTCCGGGGTGCTGTTTGATTCGGGACTCATTTGTGCTGGAATAAACTCTGCTAACTTTAATTTGTCTAAATTTTTTAAAACACCATACACAGCTCTTGGTTTCACGTAATCCAGAAATTCCTAGTTTAACATATCCAAATAAAGCTCATCTCAGTTGTAAGGAAAGGGTTTCCGATTAATTTACAGTAACCATGCCAATTTTATTTTTTGTTATTGTGATAACCATACTAAGTTTCTCTCAAGAACGCATCTTAAATATACAAAAATTTCAAAAGAAACATAATGCAAGATTGCAATAATGCTTTCCTTAATATCTGGGTTAAAAAAATATGTCATGACGAAATTTTTGGCCACATTTATCTTAAACACTAGGATTTTTAATTTAATTGAAAACTGTGTTACTTAAGAATTTCCCTACCATTAACTTTCAAAATCAGTGATCGCTGGGGAGTAGGAGAATCAGATTTCCAGAGTTACTACATTAAAACCTCTTCAACAAATAATGCTCGGCAAACTAGATATACACATGCAAAAGAATGAAGTTGGACCCTTACATTGTACCTATAAAAGTAGCAACTAAAGAGAACAATAGACCTAAACTTAAGAGTTAACACTATAAAACTCTTAGAAGAAAATATGGGGAAAAGCTTCACTGCATTGAGTTCGGCAATGTTTTCTTGGATGTGACACCAAAAACACATAGAAAAGCAAAAATAATAAATCGGATTTAAATTAAAAAATTCATGTGCATCAGAAGATGTTATCAATGCAGTAAAAACCTATCCTAGAGAATGGCAGAATATATCTTGCATATATCTGATAAAGGATTGATATCCAGGATGTATAAAGAACTCCTACAACTAAACAACAAACAACCCAATTTAAAAAGATAGGCAAAGAATTTGAATAAACATTTCTCCAAAGAAGATATACAAATGGCCAATAAGCACATAAAAGATGCCCAACATATTAGTTATTAGGGACACACAGATCAATATTATAATATTACTTTATACCTACAACAGTGGTTATTAAAAAAAGAATACAATAAGTGTTGGCAAAGATGTAGGGAACTGAAAACCTTGTGTATTGCTAGTGGGAACGTGAAATATTGCAGCCTCTGTGAAAAACAGTTCAGCAGTTCCTCAAAAATTAAATTAAATGATTACCTTTTAAAGGTAGTGCTTAACAACATGATGAAGCCTCAGAGTCCTATGCCACAGTAATAATTATAGCCAAAGATTTTAAGTTATTAAGTATATTTGATAATAGCTGGTAATATTACGTATGTTAAAGTAGTGAAAAAATTCCACATAAAATATTATTTTTGAGCCAGTTCACATCAGTATCTTGGGAATATGAACCTAAAATCTATATATTTGCCTTATAATTGATGTAAGAACAATAAAAGATGATATGCAGCAGAGATTTCTCAAATGATCCAAGAGTATTAGAAGTGCAATCTTCACATAAATATAAAAATAAATCCTGAAAAGTGATGTTATTCAAACATAATTATTTCCTGCCTTACAGTTGAGCTTATATTTTAAAAATTCCTAGAAAATTATAATTTTAAGCATGAATGGCTTGATTTTTCTCATTATATTTTTTCAATATGATATATTCACAAGATAATCAGCTCATATACAGAAATGTCTTTCTAATAATACTTTTCACCACTTCAATTATCCACTATTCAGTCTATTGTCACTAAGATGAATTATTCTAAATTTTACTTTTTAAAATATATTTGAGGTATGAATATTACCTATCAGACATACAATACAAATCTATGATAATACTAACCTGGAAATCTTAATTACTACAGAATTTATTTATTATACCAGAAGAGTTTTTATGTCTTTCTCTGTATGTCACCTTAAGATTACAAAAGCAGAATAAATAGTAATAGACTTCAATTTTAACAATCAAATGAATATCACTTGATTTTAATTTTATACAGTCACAAAGTTTCTTGGCTTTTAAATTTTCTTTAAAGAAAAGTTTTATAAAATTTGATATTGAGTTTTTAGGTATAGAATCATCTATCTATCATCTATCTATCTATCTATCTATCTATCTATCTATCTATCTATCTATCATCTATCTATCTATCTATTTATCTACAGATGGAGTTTAGTCTGTTGCCAGGCTGGAGTGCAGAGGCATAATCTCGGCTCACTACAACCTCCGCCTCCCAGGTTCAAGCGATTCTCCTGGGACTACAGCCACGCGCCGCCAAGCCTGGCTAATTTTTGTGTTTTTAGTAGAGACAGGGTTTCACCATATTGGCCAGGATGGTCTCTATCTCCTGACCTCGTGATCCACCACCTCGGCCTCCCAAAGTGCCAGGATTTCAGGCGTGAGCCACCGTGCCCGGGCATAATCTTAGATATTTTTAAATTAGTAAATGATTGGTTTTTCGATTGTGTTAGGCAAAATTTTAGAATGGCACCCCAACAATGTCCTGACCTTATCCTCAGATCCTACAAATAAGAAATTGACCTTAGGACAGGAACAGTGGCTCACTCTGTAATCCTAACAATTTGGGAGGTTAAGGCAGGAGGATCATTTCTGCTCAGGAGTTTGAGACAAGCCTGGACAGCATAGTGAGACCTCTCTCCGGAAAAAAATAAAAAACTTAGCTGGGCATGGCGGTGCATGCTTGTAGTCCCAGTTACTTGGGAGGTGGAGGCAGGAGGATCACTTTTGCCCAGGAGGTTGAGGCTGCAGTGAGCTGTGACTGTGCCTCTGCATTCCAGCCTGAGTGACAAAGTGAGACCTTGTCACACACACACACACACACACACACACACACAATAAACCTTAAAATGAAGATATAATGTATGAAGAACTGATTTAATTACATGAATCGTTTTAAAAATAGAGAGCCTTCTCCAACTGATGGCAAAAAGGGAAGTCTGAGAAATGCCAATTGTGAGAAAGACTTAATACACAATTCCTGTATATTATCTGATCATTTATTTTACTGTGTAGCTTATTTAAAAATTAAGTATGAGTTAGTCAGATTGTCTCATCTGTCTAAACCAATGCCTGATTTGAAGATGGAGGCGGCCACATGAGAAGAAGGCTGTGGCCTCTGGAAACAGTGAGTGGCCTGTACCTGACAGCCAGCAAGGCTACAGAGATTCCAGACTCACCACTGTGAAGTGTGGCAGAATATACCACTCCATAATATAGATTACTTTGAGCTAAAGGCACTTGACAAACATTAGATGCAATAAAGCCATTCTAATCTCCCTTTTTCTTCCTGCAAAAAAGGAAATAAAAATTCCCAAGTGGGGAGGCTGAGGCAGGATAATTGCTTGAACCCAGGAGGCGGAGGTTGCAGTGAGTCGAGATCATGCCATTGCACTCCAGCCCGGGTGACAGAGCGAGATTCTGTCAAAAAAAAAAAAAAAAAACTCCCATGTGAAGGTACCCTCCCTGCCTATACTAGGAGAAAAGAAACATAACCAAAGAGTCATAATCAAGAGAATTCTGCACAAGTAGATCATGTAAAGATAATTCTTATATGTCTTTTATCTCCCCACAGCATTTAATTTTCCACAATTGCCTGTCTTTGTTTCGCCTAATATAAAAACATTTAGGTTTTGCTACTTCTCTGGGTCCTCATTTCTTTATCAGGGCTCCTGTGTCACATAAAACTTACATAAATGTGTATGTTTTTCTCCTGTTAATCTGTTTTATGTCCATTTAATTCTCAAGCCCAACCAAAAATCTAAAAGGATAGAGATAAAATTTTGCCTCCTGTACAGCTGTTAAAATTAGATTTTGCTAACCACATGACTTAGCTTAAAGTGGATTCTTTCAGTTTCCAGACAAGTGCCTATTTGTAGGTTAAGTATTGTGAGATATTGTCCAGACAAACCAGCCAAACCCACCTGAACATCTGACCTACAGACCTGTGAGATAATAAATAAATGTTTACTAAGCTAAAAAGTTTATGTTAATGCATTATGTAGCAATATAAAATTAATACATGCTTTCAAAAACTGTACATAACTTTGCTTTTGTGATTATTAAACTTATATTTCATTCAAGGAGCAAAAGTCATATGCCTCATCAGTTCTAGGAAATAAGGTAAACAAGATTGTCCTCTGAAATCAAAATTGTGAACTAAAGAGATAGATGCCCAATTTGCCTTAAATCAGCAGATTATAAATTTTTGGACATGATTCCAATTTAATAAAACTATGAAATCCTTTTCTCAGAGAAGAAAAGAAACTTGCATTTATAGGCACACTTTGTGTGGAATATCTAGATTGATTATAAGACACTGTATCTAACAGGACAACTCCAGTACCCATAGAGCATAAACATAAAATAGTTTAACATATCAACCTAATCAGAAAAAAATCTTAATCGTTTAGAATAAGGTAAATTTCACACACATTTTGCAGGGTCATAGGCACAAAGGGATGCAATGCCAACTAACTAACTCACTGTCCTGAAGCAGTTCCCTGATGCCCTATGTAAGTATCTGGCAAACTTTGCTATATTATCTCCAACTGTTAGAGCCTGTTGGATTTTTACTTTCATTTGTTAAACTATGTCTCTTTTATCTGAGCATTAACTCAGCCTCTGATTACTTGTTCTACTGGGTAGCTTATTTTAAAATTAAGTATGAGTTAGTCAGATTGTCTCACCTATCTAATATCCTGGGAGTGATACCTCATATCATATCTTTTAAATTTTATTCTCAATCTTTCTTAGCTTTACTGACATAAATTAACATTACCCAGCTGAAACAGCTTTAGGATGGTGATGAGATTGAGTTTCTTGTTCTGCAAGCCAAATGTCAATCTGGACAATGATTAATTCATTAAGATACTAGTATGCGTGGCCAGAAGTTCTCCTCCAGATGACACCCTCACTTCCTTTTGTGGGTCTTAATTGAACTTGTCCACATTTAAAAAATAATTTCACAGGCTTAGTATTAACAATCTTTTTAAAAAAAATTTAATGTAGGAGTTAAATTAAATTTCATTATAGCACATTGTTCATAGCTGAGGTTAAAAAGGCCAGTAATAAATTAGTGCTTAGAATGGTCAACATTCAGGGTACTAATTAAAAAGGTGGACTTCATTTACAACTTTTTGTCAAAACAACTTATGTTATTTCCTTTGACACCACTGGAAACCTTTCAATTAACTACCAACTACAGGAACTGAGAACTCATTGGAAAATTAATGAAAACTACTTTTCTATTTTTTATTGTGCTTCCTTCACTCTTTTCTTTCCTAAAAAGTATATAATCATAAAAAGTAAGACATAACTCAAATGTCTGAATAAATTACTTCAAGTGTCAATACCTAAAAATTTGAGGGCTTTGAGATATATACTTTGTAGTTCACGTTTTTTTCAGAAGAACTCCAGTTGAATTTGTACTATTTTGCATTGTTAATAATATGGCATTATTTCATTAGTTATCTTTAAATGTCGGTGCAACATAGGGTTATAAAATATTCCACTAAGGTAACATAATTTTCTGTCATCA